>NC_000022.11:31285321-31436836 GCF_000001405.40 Homo sapiens
GGCTATAGAACACCAATTGTATGCCTAAACTATACTGTCCAATTTCATCCTCACAACCTATGTGGTATCTATTTTGATCTGTTTCATAGATAGGAAGGCAGATGCAGAGAAGTTACACTATTTGTTCAAGCAAATGGCAGAGCTGGGATTTGAACCCAGTCTTAGCACCGGCAATATTGTCTTTTTAGGAAATAGAGTTGGGAGTATCACCATATCTAACCCCCTTACAGTACAGATGAAGAAATTGAGGTCCAGAGAAGGTAAATAACTTGTCCAGTGTCACATCCAGAATAGGTGAAAGTTCCAGAACTAGATCTTGTTTCTTCTGACTTTAAACCCAGCCTTTTTTTAAATTTCTATTTTTCCTACTTTCCTTTGCAATTCAAAGCAAATTTACATGAGGCTACTTGGCCTCACTGGACTTGCTGGAGATACTAATACTCCTCAGACATACATTACTAGCTGTGTAGCCTGGCCATTGTACTTAACTCTGCTAGGTCTCAGCTCCTCACTGTAAAATCTAACAGTGCTCCTAGTGTGGTTGTGAGGCTTAGTCAAGGTAATCAGGAGGCTGGGTGCAGTGGCTCATGCCTATAATCCCAACACTTTGGGAGGCCGAGGCGGGTGGATTGCCTGAGGTTAGAAGTTCAAGACCAGCCTGGCCAACATGGTGAAACCCCGTCTCTACTAAAAATACAAAAATTAGCAGGACATGGTGGCGGGTGCCTCTAATCCCAGCTACTCGGGAGGCTGAGGCAGGAGAATCACTTGAACCCAGGAGGCGGCGGTTGCAGTGAGCCGACACAGCGAGACTCTGTCTCAAAAAAAAAAAAATTAAGAAAAAAAGATAATCAGGGAAGAGCATACAGTAGGGCCTTACTTATTAAGAAAGCATGAAATAAATGTTGGCTGCTATTGTGATTATTACCTGATTGGTGTGCTATTGTTTCTGTTTACATTTAATACTTATAATCTTAGATGGGTAGATGTGGAGGGAGGATATATCCCCATTTAACAGACAAGATACCAAGGCTCAGAGGGCACCTGAACCCACACTCAACCTACAGCTCTTTTCAGGACACTCTGCTCTCTGACTTTAGGAAGAGATGAAGGCTGCAAGCTTGTTTTTAAGCCCACATGCGGTTTCCTGTTGTACAGTCTGTTCTCAGAGCAGTTCTGCTGAAGAAAGGGGTGATCTGGTCGTTAGTGACGGGGAGTCTGATGACTGGGTGCCTTGCCCTGAGTTTACAGGAAAATAAATTTTAGGCCTCAGGGCAGTCTCGTGACAGCCTAGAGGAACAAATCTAGAAGAAAAAAGACTTCCACTGGACACCAGAACTGAGCTCAGAATTAAGAATGTTTAGTCAGTTCAAGCACCTGGAAGGCCTGGAAACTGTCACAGGATTGCAGGACAGCCAAATGCTGTTGGGTGGCTGAGGAAAAAGGAGATAGTTCAAGGACTAAACTCAGCCAATGTGGCTTAGGTCTGCTTATGAATTGTAAGGCCAGGGCCACTATGTCATTAACTCTGAAATGAACAAGCAGGTGTCCCTGGACCTGCATGTCAAGCATCCCATTGTGGGAAACAACCTCAGACTGGGCGTCAGGATGTCCTCTCAAGTCAATACTTTCCCTCTCTGGACCTCTGCTTCCTGCATCATAAGAAATCAGAGAGTACTAGTCCATTACCCACTTTTTTTTTTTTTTTTTTTTTTTTGAGACAGCATCTCACTCTGTCACCCAGGCTGGAGTGCAGTGGCACAATCATGGCTCACCATAGCGACTTCCCAGGCTCAGGTGATCCTCCCATCTCAGCCTCCTTAGTAACTAGGACTACAGGCGCCCACCACCATGCCTGGCTAATTTTTGTATTTTTTTGTAGAGACAGGGTTTTGCCATGTTGCCCATGCTGGTCTCGAACTCTTGGGCTCAAGCGATCCACCCACCTCTGCCTCCCAAAGTGCTAGGATTACAGGTGTGAGCCACTACGCCTGGTCCATTACCTACATTTTTTTTTTTTTTTTTTTGAGACGGAGTATGGCTCTGTCGCCCAGGCTGGAGTGCAGTGGCACAATCTCGGCTCACTGCAACCTCAGCCTCCCAGGTTCAAGCGATTCTCCTGCCTCAGCCTCCCAAGTAGCCGGGATTACAAGTGCCCGCCACCACGCCTGGCTAATTTTTTGTATTTTTAGTAGAGACAGGATTTCACTATGTTGGCCAGGCTGGTCTCGAACTCCTGACCTCATGATCTGCCCGCCTCGGCCTCCCAAAGTGCTAGGATTACAGGTGTGAGCCACCACGCCCAGCCACACATTTTATAGAAAAGAAAAACAGCCATCATTTACTGACCACCTACTATGTGCCACACCCTGAGCTAAGTAGTCAAAAGCCATAGCTCCACACCATGATGTGGAGTAGGAAATTGAAGCAATTTGCCCAGGGTCACAGAGATAGCTAGTTAAAGGACTTCTCTCCACCAAATGCTAGGTGTGTAACCTCAGGTAACGTATATAATCCCCTCTTGCCTCAGTTTCCTCATCTGTAAATTGGAGATGACAGCATTTACCTCATAAGGGTGATTATGAGTTAAAGCATGTGCTTCAAGCAGTGTCTGGCATACGGTACATGTTTGCTACTGCTGTTATTATTATACCCAAACTTCCCCTTTTTCATCTGTAATGAGGAGGTTGACTACAAGGCCTTTAAAGATGCCCTGCTGGGTGATCCACTGAGGCTGTGGGCTCAGACATGGCCCTCATCACTGGAAAATGCAGGCTGCATGCCAGGCATGGTGGTTCATGCCTATACACTTTGGGAGGCTGAGGTAGGAGGACTGCTTGAGCCCAGGAGTTTGAGACTAGCCTGGGCAACACAGTGAGACCCTGTCTCTATAAAAAAATTAAAAATCAGCCAGGCATGGTGGGACATGCCTGTAGTCCCAGCTACTCAGTGGGGGTGGGTGGGGGTAATTACTTGCGCCCTGGGAGGTTGAGGCTGCAGTGAGCCGTGATCGCACCACTGCACTCAAGCCTAGGCAATAGAGCGAGACCCTGAAAAAAAAAAATCAAAGAAAGGAAGGAAAGAAAGGGGAAGGAAGGAAGGGAGGGAGGGAGGGAGGAAAGGAAGGAAAAATGCAGGCTACTGTGTCACTTTCCTCACAGGAAGTTTTCTCAGACCACAGAGGAGAATATTACAGACACCCAGGGCTAGAAGTCAAATCCCCCGATTTTGCCCAAGAATGGCAAATAATTTTCCACAATCAGCCAGTGCTGTAAAGATGAATGCCAGTCTGGCTTACCATCATGCACCAGTCACTGACGGACATCTCGTGGGACCTTTCAAAATAAGCATTCTTCTCCTGCTGTCCCAGCCACAGGTCATGTCCTTGAGTTTCACAAGTAGCCTCTTTGGCTTTCTCACACGTGGTGAAGAGTGGCAAACAGACTTTCTGTTCTCCAACTCACTTTTTTCTTCCCTAGCAGAGGAGATCCCACTGCTTATAGCTCAGGAAATTTAAGCCTCAACTGCAACAGTGGCTGGAAACCTTTTCTAGTAGCAGAATTTTATAACTCACAGAAAGAATTTGGTCTTAAGGTCCCTGCAATCAGTGTCAAGCCTGATTTCTGCAGTGCCACTCACTTCAATGCCAGGCATGTGGGATCAGACAGCAGGGAATTTGCTATCAAAAGAGCTGGGTCTGAATCCAGGTTCTGCCACTCCTAGGCTATGTGACTTTGAGCAAGTCTCTGACAGAGGCTTCTTCATTTGTAAAATGCGGAACAAGAACATCCCTCACAAGGCTTTTAAGTGAGGTGTAAAGGCACCAAAGGAAAGGGTTTGTCCAAGGTCAGCAGATAAAGACTAGGACCAAGTCTCTACATCTTGAGCTGATTTTCAACATCTTGCTTCCTTTTGGGTAAGAAAGCCACAAAGTTTGACTTTGTGTACCTTCCTCCCCTCCTCCTAAGAGGGCCCAGAAGAGAAGCTACTGACCTCTTGTAGGAGTAGCCCAAGATGATGCCAGCTCCGATGGCAATGATGATCACCATCATGGTAATGCCCAGCACGTAGCCTGCCAAGGATAGGACACAAGGTCCCATTAGCCACACCCTAGACAATCAGCAAATGACATCTCTTGATGAATCCCAACGAGGGCAGGGGTGGGGGACCGTCATACCCAGAGTTCCCAGGTCCTTTTTCTCCTTGGAGTTCATCCGCACCCGCTGGCTGATCCCAATCACTGGCTGCACAGCTGCCGCCTCACTCCGAGCGGGCAGGGCGTTGGCAGGAGCGAACACCTGCACCTCATCTGCACCTGGCCCTTCAGACGCTTCCTGGATTTCTGTCGTGAAGGCTGGCAGGGCCTGGGAGGTGGTCTCTGGAGATGAGGTGGGAAACAGCTCTCATCAGGGACTGCCCTGAGTGAATTCCACAGCTGAACCTGGCCTGAGTGTTAGGGTAGATGAAGGTGGGTCACCTAAGAATTTCCCCCCACACACAACCCAAAGTCAAATTCTGCCCCAGAGGTAAGATCAGGCCTGAGAGGGCTGAACCATCTCAGGGACAAGGCAAATGAGAGAGGAAGGCCGTAGGGAAGGGCTTCTCTCCTACCTCCCACGTCTTTATCTGTCCAAATCCTTGCTATTTCCCAAGGCCCCTCTCGGTTGCGTTCTTCTGCAGGGGATTCCCCCCACTTCTACTTCAGGAAACAACCCATGCTTCCTTTGAGCAGCTCACATCTAAGCGTACGCTCTGTGCCAGTCCTTAGGTAAAATGTTTTACTTTGTGCCGGGAGCGGTGGCTCACGCCTGTAATCCCAGCACTTTGGGAGGCCAGACGGTCGGATCACCTGAGGTCAGGAGTTAGAGAGCAGCCCGGCCAACATGGTGAAACCCCGTCTCTACTAAAAATACAAAAATTAGCTGGGCGTGGTGGTGCACGCCTGTTATCCCAGCTACTCAAGCGGCTGAGGCAGGAGAATCACTGTAACGCGGAAGGCGGAAGTTGCAGTGAGCCGAAATTGCGCCACTGCACTCCAGCCTGGGTGACAGAACGAGACTCCGTCTCAAAAAATAAAAAATAAAAAATAAATGCTTTATTTTGATTATCCCATTTAAACCTAGAAAACTCTCTTGCTGCTTTGGGAGCAAAAAGCCTGCGCTCTGGAATCTAAGAAACGTGAATTCAAATCTGTCCCCTGCCATTGCCTTTGGTAAATCGCTTAACTTCTCTGAAGCTCAGATGCCTCAAACGACTTCTTCCCGCGGTGTGTGTCAGGGGAGGTTGGGGAGCTGGGGTTGTGAGCAGTGTGGGTCTAGCACACTGCAGACGCTCCGCAAACGGTCAATAAACGCTGAGGGGCCAAAAGCCACTCCTCAGGACGCGCGGCGGAGAGACCTAGCCTCACCCCAGCCTCGCCCCGCGCAGTTGTTTACAAGCGCTCGCGGCGGATGAGCTCATACGAGTGGCGGCGGCGGCCAATAGGCTTTGAGCCCCGCGGCCTGGAGACAGCCCTGGCCAATCGGACGGCGCGGAGGCGGAGCGGGGCCGGCCGGCATCGCGCGGCCGCACGTGCGCCACGAGTGTCTCAGCCGCTTCCTGTCAGCGCCAGGAGCGGGGATTCCCGGGGTCCCGGGCAGGTACCTGGACAGCGCAGGTCCTCGCAAGGCCGTTTCTCAGGGACGCCGGCCTCGCCACTGACGTAGCACCAGGGCCCGCGCGGGTCCTCGTCCGGGTTTCGGCAGTAACTGTGATTGCCGGCCCCTAAGAGAGGAGAGAAGGAAATGTGTGCCGGGGCTGGCACCGGGAACGCGGCCGCCGCCCGCCAGCCCCGGGGCCGTCCCCCGGAGGACACTTACCCGACACGGGGGCCGAGGCCAGCCCGCTCTGCGCGTCCAGCCAGTTGAGGCAGCGGAGGCCCGGCGCGGGGGAGGTCTGGTCCTCCCGGTACAGGTGGCCGTTGTCCCAGAAACAGCCTGTGAG
Source organism: Homo sapiens (assembly GCF_000001405.40). NCBI lineage: Eukaryota > Metazoa > Chordata > Mammalia > Primates > Hominidae > Homo > Homo sapiens. The sequence continues at coordinate 31,291,304 of NC_000022.11, forward strand.
GAAAAGAAGCCCCCGGACACAGAATAGCGGGCAGCGAACGGAAGACGCCCAGCGTGGCGGACAGGGGAGCCGGGACCACCCGGGCTGAACCTCAGCCTGGTTAGGGGACCCCGGGCCCTGCTGGGCCTCCCTCTCCTCTCGTGGCAACACCCCCACGCCCCACGCACCCCCCCCCCCCAACTCCACGCACACCTCAGGGTGTGAAGCCCCCAGCCTGTGCCTGTCCCCCAGTCAACGCTCAGAGACTGTTAGGTTTTATTTATTTTTGAAACCTGGAAAGCGCTGCAGAAGTGCAAAGCGTTGTTACTCTTGAACTTGTGACCACTTTGGAGGAGGAGATGGAGAGGAGGAGGCCTGGCTTAGGGTCCCTTTGAGGAGCTGGGAGTTTTGGGACGGGGGGCGCCCAGACGTGACATTTGTCCCTGTGTTGTAATGGCCACGTTACATAAACTCCGGTGTTTCCTCCTTCACGGATACGGCCACCTTCTGCCCGTTTAAAAGGCAAATACTCCCTCCCAGGAGAATTCTCCAGGAGCCTTGACTCCGTCAGGCAAAAGATTCAAGACAGCCTCAAACGGAGGAAACCGGCCTCATCGCTGACTGGATGAGACTCCAAGCTCCCACTCCCCTCTGCAGGAGAACCACAGAAGGAGGCTGGGGAAGGAGGACCACACCATGCAAAGGGCTTAGAAAGAACAGGACTTGGGGAGTAGGGGAGATGAACCCCCAAGCTCCATCCACTCATGAGCAAGGAAAGGCAGAGAGAAAGTGGCTTCTTGCCTTTGTTCTTAATGGCAAAGATGGAGCTGCAAGCCCCTGACAAGGAAAGGAGGGGTGGAAAAGCTTTCACGGGACAACAGAAACCGGCTAAACGCTTCGTTTCCTGTCATCCTGGCCCTGTTTGGGAAATAGGGGGCTTTACCCCTTCTGTTTCATGAAGTTGCTGCGGAAAGGAAAGATTGTAATCTCACCTCCAGATCCATAGGCTTCTGCTAGGAGCATGTTGCTGACGAGGAATGCTTGTACCCAGGCCAACAGCATCCTTGCCTCCTTCGTCTTGCAGGTGATTGAACGACCAGTGTTTAACCGAGGCCCCCTTGGCGGCGGCTCTGCCTCCCAGTCCCAGCCTTGCAGTCAGACCTGCCCTTGTTATGCTGTTCTGGTAAACAGCCTCTCTTTAGAACTGGGAGCTTCCCAGCTAGCTTGCTGCAGCGCGAGCTGTTTTTCAGCTGAAAGGCGCCCCCTGGGTCCTAAGCCTCCTAGGTCATGCAAAATCTAACTGAGCCAAGAAAGGAACTCAGCCAAGAGATATGCAGGTTGTGCTTAGCAGCCGATCAGTTTGAGACCTGCGAGGCCGCATCCCCAGGGTTTTTCATCTCTTCTGTTTCCATTTGTGTGAGTACAGAAAAAATAATTCTATCAAGGGGCATCATGGGATGTGGGAAATTATAAGCACTAAAACACAGAACAACTTAGGGAGCTATGCACCCAGGAGGAATTCATGACCACATAGGGGGGAAAAAATAAGAGTTTCTGGTGGGGAGTGGAGTAATAGTTTTTTTTTTTTTCTTTTCTTTTCTTTTTGAGACAGAGTTTCACACTGTCGCCCGGGCTGGAGTGCAATGGCACAATCTCGGCTCACTGCAACCACCTGCCGGGTTCTCGCAATTCTGCCTCAGTCTCCGGAGTAGCTGGATTTTTTTTTTCCCTCACTCTATAGGAAATCCATTTGCTGTAATTTATATCCATCATTAAATCTCACCATATCCATTTGACTTAGGCCTTTTGGAGTTAGGCAGAAGGGCCCTTCTTCCTGTTTGGCTGACAGCTCCCAGGCAGCCTCAGTAAACTGAGAGAGAGAGCAGAGTGATTCGTCAAGACTACCTTGTGACAGGGGCACACCACCACAACCCAGCTAATTTTTTGTATTTTTAATAGAGACGGGGGTTTCACTGTGTTGGCCAGACTGGTCTTGAACTCCTGACCTCGTAATCCACCTGCCTCGGCCTCCCAAAGTGTTGGAATTACAGGTGTGAGCCACCGCGTTCGGCCGAGTAACACTTTATACCCATCCTTGAAAAAGAAAAAGGGCCTTTATGAACACTGACACTTAAAAAAAAAAAAAAAAAAAAAAAAAAAAAAAAACAGTGTAACTTGGCCAGGGTCAAATCTGTCACATTGCTTTTTCTTACATTTGAGGTTTTTTGGGGTGTTGTATATAGTAGGACTATAGAAGGAGTATCTTTAGTTGAAAACACATGTTATGCAAACATGGAAAAATTTGCTCAGCTACATTGTAATAGTCTACCCTTTCTGCCAGCCCTAAATTGTATAGAGGAATTTAAGTAAAATGTTTGCTTTTTTTTTTTTCCCTCACCCTATAGGAAATCCATTTGCTGTAATTTATATCCATCATTAAATCTCACCATATCCATTTGACTGAGGCCTTTTGGAGTAGGCAGAAGGGCCCTTCTTCCTGTTTGGCTGACAGCTCAAGTTCCCAGGCAGCCTCAGTAAACTGAGAGATAGAGCAGAGTGATTCGTCAAGACTACCTTGTGACTCAGTCAGATCCCAAAATAGAAATGGGGAAACTCTGTTTCAATCTTGCAGGCTGTAATTTAAGGAGGAAAACAACTAATTTTTTTTTGGGTGGGGGGGACAGAGTCTCTGTCTCCCAGGCTGGAGTGCAGTGGCACCATCTCGGCTTACTGCAACCTCCACCTCCCAGGTTCAAGCAATTCTCCTGCCTCAGCCTCCCAAGTAGCTGGGATTAAAGGTGTGCGCCACCACGCCTGGCTAAATTTTTTTTTGTATTTTTTTAGTAGAGATGGGGTTTCACCATGTTGGCCAGGCTGGTCTCAAACTCCTGACCTCAGGTGATCCACCCACCTTGGCCTCCCAAAGTTCTGGGATTACAGGTGTGAGCCACCATGCCTGGCCACTTTACTAAATAAATTTTAAAAGCTTTATCAGGGAAGAAAACTAGTGTCAATTCAACTAATCTGAGGTGAATCTGAATTCACTACACTCATAGAAAGGATAGAGAGATACATTTAATTCACTCTTTAAAATAGTTTACTGATAATGTTTGATCCCTTTCGTCCATTTAATAAGATAGATTGCTTTGTTTTTGCAATCACTCTCCTATCTCCCCACCCAAGCTTCTGATCCTCTGACTCTTGACTTGGTCTACCCTGTGAATTACACCCTAGAGTCTGTAAATTTATTCACACATATTCATACACAGATACGGTAGCATTTTAAAATTTGGCCAGGTATAGTGGCTCACACTTGTAAATCCCAGCACTTGGGAGGCCAAGGTGGGAGGATGAGCCCAGGAGTTTGAGACCAGCCTGGGCAACATAATAAGACCCTCATCTCTACAAAAAAAAAAAAATAGGTAGGTGTGGTGGCACTCATCTGTAGTCCCACCTACTGAGGTGGGAGGATCATTTGAGTTCAGGAGTTGGAGGCTGCAGTGACCTGTGATCATGCCACTGCACTCCAGCTTGGGCAACAAAGAGAGACCCTGTCTTAAAAAAAAAATTTATTTTTTTTGAGACAGAGTCTTGCTCTGTTGCCCAGGCTGGAATGCAGTGGCGCCATCTCGGCTCGCTGCAAGCTCCGCCTCCTGGGTTCACGCCATTCTGCCTCAGCCTCCCGAGTAGCTGGGACTACAGGCGCCCGCCACCACGCCCGGCTAATTTTTTGTATTTTGTTTAGTAGAGACGGGGTTTCACTGTGTTAGCCAGGATGGTCTCGATCTCCTGACCTCGTAATCCGCCTGTCTTGGCCTCCTAAGGTGCTGGGATTATAGGTGTGAGCCACTGCGCCTGGCCAAAATTTTTTTTTAATTTAACAATTCCAATATAATAGGGATTTTTAAATTTTATTAATTTTACAAATATTTTTGAGAATCTGCTACATGCTAAATATAGTTGTAGATACTGGGAATACATCTGTGAACAAAATATTTGAAATCTCTGCCCTCATGAAGCTTATATTCTAATTGGGAGAGACATGATAAACATGTAAAATATTAGGTAATCTTAAGCGTTATGCGAAAAAAAGTGAAGCAGAGTAAGGGAGAGAGTAACAGGGTGATATTCCACTTGCCAAAGAAAGCATATACTATTTTCAGGGAAGTAGTAGGATATTTCTATAGCAAAAAGCTGAAGGGGAAGGGCTCTTTGCACAATTTTTGGTGGGAGGGGTCCTATGTTTACTCTTACAGTGCAGCAGGAGACATATGATGTGCATTTTGTTTCATTACATAAAATACAGGCTTGAGGAAATGAGAGTAGTTTTAAATTTCAGAACAGCAGAAGGTTCTTTGAAGTTGGTCACTCAGCACGTAATGTATTGCCTTTGTATGCAGCGAGGGTTCATTTATTGATATCTGATGAAATGCTCCTCCTTAGATTTTGAAGGGCTACTTTTGCTGGATTGTAATACTTTTCCCTCTGATTACGGTAGAGACAGGCTATAACAGGCCAGCACTTGTACTAGTTTCAGATTATCTACCATGCCTATGTAGGGATGCTAGTATTTCTACCTCAGAAGCCCAAGGCTTCTTTACCTGTTGCTGTTGTCATCTAATTTTCCTATTTAAAAAATACTATTTTCCCTAACTTACCTTGATACTCAGCAAAACCATATTTTGTGTCATGTGTCTTATCAGGAACAGCACTGCCTAGAAAAGATACAAAGCCAGAAGATTTTTTTCAGCTTAGTCATGTCTATTTTTTCTCCCCTGTAACTAAGACATTTATCAGCATGATTGATTGGATTTTTTTAGGGGGCGAGGGAATGAAGGACTTGATTCTCAGTCCTTCAGAGATGTACTCTAACAGGTTCAGTACCTTCCTTCCTCAAGGCAATCAGATTTGGTTTAGAAATGTGCCTCTTGTCTTTTTCTGATGATCCAGATTTGAACTTTGCTCCATTTATTGGGGCAAGATGGCCATATTTTATGGCCTGTAGTTAGCGCAGACTTCAGATTTCTTCTGAAAATATCACGGCAATAATAATGTGATACAGTGCTACTCAAATACTTAAATTTTGAGTTGTTTATATCCTTGAAGACAACATTGTGAAACATAATACTCATATCCTCAGTTTCGTATTAGATGATTACTAATCCAGAGACAAAGCTGTGCGATGAAATCAGGAAATATTCTCCAGAGTGTTTCCCAAGAAGGATGGGCACTTCATTTTGTTAACAGGATATGTTAGTGAGTGAACTCTAATAAGGAAGTTATAAAGCTGTTAAAAGGCTTAAGAATCCTTTTTTGTCAGCAAAAGAGGGCCAAAGTGTTGGTAAAAATCTTTGGAATAAGACCTAATGAGTTGGCTCCAGCAATTCACTTTATATGATGTGCTGTAGAAGTAGCTACTGAAATTGTGCTCAATATTTTGGTGTATAATTACAAACTGAGCAGGAATGGTTTTATGCAGCTTGTTAGGGAAATAATATTCTAGTCAAAATATGTAAACACCAAGGCTGTTTCTTTGAAGTGTAGCCTTCAAAGAGTTAGGTTATATCCATTTTGTGTATGCTTGGTACATAGTTTAGTTTTAATAAATGCTTGAAATAAAGGGGAAAAGCAGAGTACCATGTAAGGAAAAGCAGTCTAATGAGCCGACAGAGAGAACAGATTTTTTTTAGGGTAAACTACAGAATAGCCAAGAAGGCTTGTCAATCACAGGTTGCTTTCAGAAATAAGACATTCCACACTGGAAACTAAGGAGCCACAAAGGCAGAGAACTTGGGAACATGTCACTGGTGTTGAGAAATAAAAGGAAGAATAAATTCTGAATGAGAGTGGATTTTGATTTAGCTTAGATAACATGGTTTTCACATTGATGAAAACAGTCTTCAGTGTCACAGGAAGAATGCAGAAACTACAAACTTAATTGGTTCATAAGGCTAGACTGTCAATATAAAAGGTGAATTCACCCAGTAAGCTACAATTATGCCTCTCTTGGAAGGGGATCTGATATTCTCCAATTTCAGTAAACTGGATTTGCAGTTTTAAAATGTATTAACACCCAGTATGAGCTTAGTACTGACTTTTAAAGTAGGAGAAGCAGTATACCAAATAATTTATGAGCGTAGGCTTTGGGGTTTTTTTTTGTTTTTGTTTTTGTTTTTGAGACAGAGTCTCGCTCTGTCGCCCAGACTGGAGTGCAGTGGTGCGATCTTGGCTCACTGCAACCTCCGCCTCCCAGGTTCAAGCGAGATTCTCTTGCCTCAGCCTCCCGAATAACTGGGATTACAGGCACCCGCCACCACGCCCAGCTATTTTTTGTATTTTTAGTAGAGATGGGGTTTCACCATGTTGGCCAGGCTGATCTCAAACTCCTGACCTCGTGATCCACCCACCTCAGCCTCCCAAAGTGCTGGTATTATAGGCATGAGCCACCACGCCCAGCCGAGCGTAGCCTTTGAAAATACTTGGGTTCTAGTCTTAGCACTGCACTATGATCTTAGTTCCTTGCCTACTAACAAAGGAAAAAAAAAACTTTTTAAATGTTTAAAAAGATCTTAGGTAAGTTACTTAGCATCTATAATTTTAAGCTTTCTTAGCCTGTTATCATAGTGGTTAAGAATGCAGGCACCAACATGAGGATTCAAATCCCAGCTCTGTTGCTTCCTAGCTATGTCATCTTAGGCAAGCTACTAAACTATGGCTCAGTTTCCTCATATGGAGGGAGGCAGAGAGAGAGAGAAAAATTACCAAAATCATTGGATTGTTGACATTCATTGATCCCTGAATAAATGTTAGCTGTTATCAGGAATTTTTGTGAGTACCTCCTAACTTGTAAGTACTAGGTATAGGCCAGGCATGGTGGGTTTTGCCTATAATTCCAACATTTTGGGAGGCTGAGGCAGGAGTATTGCTTGAGGTCAGAAGTTCAAGACCAGCCTGGGCAACATAGTGAGACCCCCATCTCTGCAAATAAAAGAATCAGCTGGGCATGGCAGCACAGACCTGTAGTCCCCGCTACTTGGGAGGCTGAGGTGGGAGGATCTCTTGAGCCCAAGAGTTCAAGGCTGCAGTGAGCTATGATCATGACACTGCACTCCATCCTGGGGGACAGAGTGAGACCCCATCTCTAAAGATAATTTTTTTTTCTTTTATGAGACAGGATCTCGCTTTGTCACCGAGGCTGGAGTGGCATGATCATGGCTTACTGTAGCCTCAGGCTCTGGAGCTCAAGCCGTCCCACCTCAGCTCTCCTGAATAGCTGGGACCACAGGTGCATGCCACCATGCCCAGCTAATCTTGCTTATTTTTTATAGAGATGAGGTCTCACTATACCCAGGCTGACCTCAAACTCCTCGACTCAAGTGATCCTCCTGCCTCAGCCTCCCAAAATTTGGCGATTATAGGCGTGAGCCACTGCACCCAGCCTAAGAGTAAATAAATTTATAAAAGAAGTACTGGGTATAATTGCTATCTTTCAAGAAACTGACATTCTGGTTATAAAGATCAGGCTAACACATATGAAAATAAAATCAATATAGGGCATTATATAAGTAAGTGTTAAAGAGTGTGATATAGACAATAAAGTTTTATTCATTAAATGAATATTGCCTACCGTGCACCAGGTAGGCAGCAGTGAGTACTGAGGATACAACAGTGAATCCTACACAGTTCCCATTCTCAGGAAGCTCACAATCTTGTGATAAAGCAGATATTAATATTAGTAGATGGGTAGTAGAATCATATAACACAGTGAAATAAATGCTACAGTGAGAATTAGAACTGGGAGCTGTGGGAGCTCACAGGAGAGGCATATACCCTGGTCTTAGGAAATCAGAAAAGGCTTATCAGAAGTCGTCGAATGTGAAGGTGGGAAAGAGTGTTCTTGGCACATCAAACAGTGCAGAAACCTGGAAGTATAGGCTATCATTGTGCTAGTGGAGCTTTTAGGGTCGTGGTTAAAATGGGGCCAAAAACCAAAAACATGAAGCCAAAGAAGTATACACTTTCTGGCTAGGTTATGGAGGTCCCTGAATGTCATATTGAGTGTAGACTTTATTCTGAAGGCAATAAAGAGCCAGTAAAGATTTTCATGCAAAAGAGTAGCAAGAGTCAGACTTCTGTTTTAACAAAGATCACTGTGGCTACAGGGAAGCCATCCATGATGGAAGGCTGGAAACCAAGGAGGCTGTTGCAGAGATTTCAGTGAGATAGGATAGTGACCTGGATCCAGAATTGAGTCAGGCCACCTGGGTTTGAATCCTGCTCTGCCACTTAGTAGTTATGTGACTTTATGCAAGTTATTTAACCACTCTTTGCCTCTGTTACCTAATCTGAAAATTGGAGATAATAAAATTTACCTTATGGGCTTATTGTGAGGATAAATCACTTAGAACACACCTGCCTAGCACATATTTAAGTGCTTTAAAAATGTAGGCAGTGAAGGCTGGTCACAGTGGCTCACGTCTGTAATCCCAGCACTTTGGGAGGCCGAGGCGGGCGGATCACGAGGTCAGGAGTTTGAGACCAGCCTGGCCAATATGGTGAAACCCTGTCTCTACTAAAAATACAAAAATTAGCCGGGCCTGGTGGCACGTGCCTGTAGTCCCAGCTACTCGGGAGGCTGAGACAGACGAATCACTTGAACCAGGGAGGCGGAGGTTGCCGTGAGCTGAGATCATGCCACTGCACTCCAGCCTGGGCGACAGAGCGAGACTCCATCTCAAAAAAAAAAAAAAAAAATGTAGGCAGTGAAGAGAAGCAAACTAAGAATAAGCAGGATTCCATGACTGAAGGAAGGTTAGAAGCAAATAAGAAGAATAAGGAATTCGGTTTCTGGTTTAGGAGCTTAGGGGATGGTGGTGACTTTCACTGAGATAAGAAACCTGAGGAAAAGCAGGTTTGGGGGAGGCTGAGAAGGCACCACCAGAGGTGACTGGATTGCAACCAGAAGAGTATAATGTCAGAGAAGCTAAGGAGAGTGTTTCAGGGAGGAGGGAATGGTCAGCATTGTTAAATGTTACCAAGGATGATCAAGTGAAATAAAAGCTAAAAAGAATTAATTGGTTTTAGCAACAAGAAGGCCATTGGTGACCTTGTCAGGAGGAATTTTTATGATAAGGAAGGAGGGCTAAAAATGTATGGATTATGGAAGGAATAAGAGATGAAGAAGGGAGACTGTGAGAACAGACAATTCCTCCAAGTTTAGCTGGGTAGAAGGATTATGGACAGGGCTGACATTGGACCCAGTACACTGATTTGGCCTATTGCCTGTGGCATTCTGAGTGGTTGGACATTCATTCTAATTGGTCAGTAACCATACCAGGGAGGTGAGAAAGGGGAGCTGATGTGGGAACACACATTGGATTTGCTCTTGGTAGTTTTGAATTTGACGTAAGGACAAGCAAGCTATGTATATAGAAATGTCCAGCAAGCAATTTGATAGGGGACTAGTGGTGGGAAGACTGGACAGAAAATTAGAGTAAAAACTCAAGTGAGTGAGGATAGGCTAGAAGGTACCAAAACAAAGGCAGGCTGGCAGGAAGGCACAAAGAAGCTTTAGGTCTAGCCATAAAATTCATGAACATTTTGAGATTGTGTGAACTCGGGGTGGGAAATGAGTTGCAAAGTTGAAGTAAGAAACCAGACCTCAAATCCAGATTTCATAGCTTATAAAGAACATTTTTAGTAAACAGAGGAGTTCAAGGATGGAGTCCAGTAGCTCTAAGCTGTTAGGGAGAGGAAATAGGAAAGGAAAGTCCCCGGTTTGGAGCCGGAGCAGTGAACTTTGGCATGGCATGATAGGCTCTGTGGGTTAACTTTAGGAATGCAGCACTTTAGCCCCAGTTGTTGGTTGCTGTGTCTTCAGCATGTAAAAACACTCATTTGTGTATTTCAAGTGCACCAAACCCTGATTGCAATGTTTGGCATTAATTACTTCACTTTTTTTGTTTTCTTTGTTTAGAGACAGGGTCTTGCTATGTTGCCCAAGGGGACTTGAACTCCTATGCTCAAGCAGTCTTCCCACCTCAGCTGGGACTATAGATATGCACCACTGTGCCTAGCGTATTACTTTAAATGTATCATATATGGTTGTAGTTTGTATTTGTATGTATGTAAACAATACATAAATTAGATGTTAATCTATTAACGATTCAAAAACCGCAATTACTTTTGCACCAACCTAAATATATCCTGGGTGGGGTAACAACAAAGTAGATGGGAAAATATCTTTGTTCCCTCTTTATAATCCTGGTATTTCATTCTCTTATTAGTGTTTATTCTTTCAGTCAGCAAATAGCTGTTGAGTACCTTCTGTGTCAGGGACTGCTTTTCCTTTTATTATCTCACTTTTCTCCTGGCCATCTTTCCCATTCTGCTCTGTGGAGTCTTCTCCTTGAAACTTTCTTCACCCATTTTTTTTTCTGACAGTTGGCTCCATCTCATCTCTTCTTAAGAGGTGTCCTTTAGATAATTCATCTATTAGGAAACACAGTGAATGTTACACATTCTTCATATATATTCCTCATACAGATTGAGAGCTTCTGCTATTATTCCATTACAGTCAGCAAAATGGAGAGAGAAAGGAAAAAGAATCTCAGACAAGATCATAGAGTGATTGTGGCTGGAAGGAAGTCCAAGGACAACAGAAATCAACATTTTATTACAATGAGGCCCAATTATATGATCTGATTGCTGCCCTTCTCACCCTCTGTGAAGCCCAGTTAACAGAAATGAGCAGTGCTGTGGGAGGTGTCATAAGTGGACTCAAATTGGCCCCAGAATGGCAAACTCTGAGTTCAATAATAGATTAAGTACCAGCTTCAAACACTCAGTGTGTTCTCTGAGTTCCCAAAGATATTTCTACCTGGAGCTTTCTTCTACACTTACCTTAATGGCTCAGTTGGAAGTCAGCCATCACTGCTAAGTGTTCTTAGTTCTATGCAGCATTGGCAGGAGCTTCCCTATTATCCTGATGTTAGTAATAGAAAGTCTGCCCAGTTGTAGCCAGGCTGTTCCCCCTAAAGCAATAGTGGAGCATTTCCACTTTCTAGGATCTTGTCCTTTCCAACACTGAGTGGACTAACCTCTTGTCACTTTCACCAGTCATTAGATTTATGAGAAAATCTCCCCATTCCTAGAGTGGATCTGCTATCAGGCAGCAATCTGCTTTTTGCTCTGAATTTCTGATCTCTTGGATACAGTAGGAGAATCTGCTCCGATGAACATTAAATTAATATATGTAAAGCATTTAGAAGAATGCCTCACACATATTAAGAGTTTCTGCTATTATCATTAATACTATCGTTGTTATTGCCACCATCTAGGATCAGAAGCTAGAGCTTAGCTGAACATCTAATTCTTGCTCTTGTTATTCTGAGTGGTTTAGCAAATCCAATTTATCTGGAAATGGGGCTGAATATGTTTGGTTTCCGCTCAATTTTGTGGCCATTGCCACTTCAAAGAGTTTTCAAAAGGTCAAAATGTTATCATTTTAGTGTTTTTACTTCTTAGGGCTTCAACATCCCCTCTCTGGATTCTTAAGAGACTCTGATCCTGAATCAGTGAAATGGATAATCGAGCAATCTCTGCATGAAAGATGTACATTTTATCCAGTCATCCAGTGTTTAACAAACACCAGCTCAATGTGGGACAGTAATAAATGTCATCGCTAACATTTATTGAGCACCTAGTATGTGCCAGATACTGTTCTAAGTGCTTTATATATACTATCTCATTTATTCTTCATAAAAACCCTATATATAGGCACTGTTATTATCTTCCTTTTACAAATGAAGAAACAATCATAAAGAGGTTAAGTAATTTGCGTAAAGCCACAAAGATAAGTGAAAGAGCTGGGATATGTACCCAGGCAGTCATATCTCATAGCTTTTGCTAGTTACCACCTCACTGTACTGACAGGGAGAACCCTGGATTTAAGAGGCAGAAGTTCGGCTGGGCGCGGTCGCTCACGCCTGTAATCCCAGCACTTTGGGAGGCCGAGGTGGGCAGATCACGAGGTCAGGAGATTGAGACCATCCTGGCTAACACGGTGAAACCCCGTCTCTACTAAAAGTAGAAAAAATTAGCCGGGCGTGGTGGCAGGCGCCTGTAGTCCCAGCTACTTGGGAGGCTGAGGCAGGAGAATGGCGTGAACCTGGGAGGCAGAGCTTGCAGTGAGCTGAGATCACACCACTGCACTCCAGCCTGTCTCAAAAAAAAAAAAAAAAAAAAAAGAGGCAGAAGTCCAATCTGGTCTCAACTCCTCCATTCCATCATTTAACAAGTTGAATGACCTTAGGTATACCTTTCTTGAAACTCAAGTTTCTTTATCTGTAAAATGGATAGGGTAATACGTACTTCACAGGATGGTTGTGAAGACTGTTATGTGCCCTGGACTTCTTAGGCATTCAGTAAATGTTAGCTTCTCTCACTACCCGATTCTAAGCACTACACTGGTGCTCAAGATTGACTAAGAAAGTTGTACCTCCGGCCGGGCGCAGTGGCTCATGGCCGTAATCCCAACACTTTGGGAGGCTGAGACGGGCGGATCACGAGGACAAGAGATCGAGACCATCCCGGTCAACATGGTGAAATCCCGTCTCTACTAAAAATACAAAAATTAGCTGGGCATGGTGATGTGCGCCTGAAATCCCAGCTACTGGGGAGGCTGAGGTAGGAGAATCACTTGAACCCGGGAGGCAGAGGTTGCAGTGAGCCGAGATCGTGCCATTGCACTCCAGCCTGGCGACAGAGCAAGACTCTGTCTCAAAAAAAAAAAAAAACAGAAAAAGTTCTACCTCCTTGTGGTCCCAGTCTGGGATGAAGAGGGAAGAAGAGGACAAATATGGGACCAGGTCATTATGGTATAGTATAAGAAATACCACTTTAGAGGAATATACAGAGAGAAGAATACAGAAAGTTACATTTTCTGAGATGGGGCAAGGAGGAGTTGAAGTTTCAGGGTACCAGTGACATTTGTGTTGGGCATTGAAAAACAGGCTTGGATGGGATGGACAGAAGGCACAAAAGTTTCTGAGCAGAAGAAACAGCATGTGTGCAGGCGCTAAAGTATGGCAGAGCTCAGAGTATGTGTTCTAGTAATGGCTAGAGGTTTGGTATGCAGTTGGGTATTGGAGGTGAGATGGTAACTGAGTAGTAACAAATGAGTTTGCAAAGAGAGGCATTCAAGGCTTCAGATGTCAGTTATGTCCCAGCACCACGAAGACAGTAAAACATAGACATCTTTTAAAAGAAAATTTACCGAAAGTAAATAAATTTAGCAACAAAAACTTTATAAATGCTCTTTTCTATTGAGATACAATTCACATATCATGAAATTCATCATTTTACAGCATACAGTTCAGTAGTTGTTAGTACCTGTGCGTCACTTAACAACAAGGATAGGTTCTGAGAAATGCGTCATGCAAACATCATAGAGTATAATTACACAAACCTAGACGGGACAGCCTACTACATATCTAGGCTATATGGTGTAACCTACTGATCTCAGGCTACAAACCTGTACAGCATCTAACTGTACTAAATACTATAGGCAACTTTAACACAATGATAAGTATTAGTGTATCTAAACATAGAAAAGGTACAGTAAAAATATGGTATTATAATCTTATAGCGGGGATCCCCAAACCCCAGGGCTGTGGCCAGTTAGGAACCCAGTAGCACAGCAGGAGGTGAGCAGCAGGTGAGCAAACATTACCATCTGAGCTCTGCCTCTTGTCAGATCAGTGGTGACATTAGATTCTAATAGGAGTGTGAACCCTATTGTGAACTGCACATGCTAGGGATCTAGGTTGCGCACTCCTTCCAAGAATCTAACTAATGCCTGATGATCTGAGGTGGAACAGTTTCATCCTGAAACCATCCCCCCATCACCCCCAGTCCATGGAAAAATTGTCTTCCATGAAACCAGTCCCTGGTGCCAAAAAGGTTGGGGACCACTGTGTTATAGGACCACTGTCATATATGCGGTCTGTTGACTGAAACATCATTATGTGGCTCATGTCTGTATATTCACAAGGTTGTGTAACCATCACCGCTATCTAATTCCAGAACACTTCATCACCCCAAAAAGAAACGCTGGTACCTGTCTACAGCCATACCACCCTGAACATGTGCAATCTTGTCTGATCTCAGAAGCTAAGCAGGGTTGAGTCTGGTTAGTACTCAGATGGGAGAAACCTAGTACCTGTTGGCAGCCACTCTTCATTTTCCTTTCTCCTCACCCTCTGGCAACCTCTGATCTCCTTCTTTTTTAAATAATAATAATAATAATTATTATTATTATTATTATTATTATTGTTATTATTATTTTGAGACGGAGTCTCGCTCTGTCAGCCAGGCTGGAGTGCAGTGGCATGATCTCGGCTCACTGCAAGCTCCGCCTCCCAGGTTCACGCCATTCTCCTGCCTCAGCCTCCCGAGTAGCTGGGACTACAGGCGCCCGCCAGCGTGCCCGGCTAATTTTTTGTATTTTTAGTAGAGACGGGGTTTCACCACGGTCTCGATCTCCTGACCTTATGATCCACCCACCTTGGCCTCCCAAAGTGCTGGGATTACAGGCGTGAGCCACTGCGCCTGGACTCTTTTTTAAAATTTTTATTATTTTATTTGTTATTGTCCCAAGTGTTCCAAGTAAATACTGATCTCTTTGTATTTCTATGGATATGCCTATTCCAGACATTTTATGTAAATGGAATCATACTATATGCAACCTTTTGTGTCTGGCTTCTTCTACTAAGCATGATGTTTTGAAGGTTCATCTAAGTTGTAGCATGTATCAGCATTTCTTTTTATGGCTGAATAATATTCCTGTGTATGGATGTACCATATTTTGTTTATCTAGTCATCAGTTGGTGGACATTTGAGTTGTTTCCACCTTTTGGCTATTATGAATAATGCTACTATGAATATTCATGTACAGGTTTTTGTTTGATACCTGTTTTCATTTCTTTTGAGTATATACCTAGGAGTGGCATTGCTGGTTATTCTGTGTTTAACTTTTCGAGGAACCATCAAACTATTTTCTTTTCTTTTTCTTTTTTTTTTTTTTTTTGAGATGGAGTCTCGCTCTGTCACCCAGGCTGGAGTGCAGTGATGTGATCTTGGTTCACTGCAATCTCCGCCTCCTGGGTTCAAATGACTCTCCTGCCTCAGCCTCACGAGCAGCTGCGATTACAGGTGTGAGCCACCACACCCGGCTCTACTAAAAATACAAAAATTTGTATTTTTAGTAGAGACAGGTTTTGCCATGTTGGCCAGGCTGGTCTTCATCTCCCAACCTCAGGTGATCCACCCCCCTCAGCTCCCCAAAGTTCTGAGATTGCAGACGTGAGCCACTGTGCCCGGCTGATCAAACTACTTTCCGTATCAGTTTTTCCACATCAAAGTTTAGACAAGATTGGACATGTTCGTGGTGGTATGGCTGTAGTCAGGTACTGGTGGCTGTACCAGTTTACATCCCACCAGCAATGTATGAGGATTCTAATTTTTCCACATCCTTGCCAACAAGGATGTTGTTGATTTTTTTCCTTTTTTATTATGGCCATATTTGTGAGTGCGAAGTAGGATCTCATTGTGGTTTTGATTTGCATTTTCCTAATGACTAATGTGCTTGTTGGCTGTTTGTTTATATTCTTTGAAGAAATGTTTATTGAAGTCCTTTCCCCCATTTTAAAAATCAGGTTGTCTTTTTGTTGTTGAGTTGTAAGAGTTGTTTTTCATTTTTGTTTTTTTTTTTTTTTTTTTTGACAAGGTTTCACTCTGTTGCCCAGGCTGGAGTGCAGTGGCACAATCTTGGCTCACTGCAATCTCTATCTCCCAAGCTGAAGTGATTCTCCTGTCTCAGCCTCCCAAGTAGCTGGGACTACAGGTGCATGCTACAGTGCCCAGCTTATTTTTTGTATTTTTAGTAGAGACGGGGTTTCACCATGCTGCCCAGGCTGGTCTGGAACTCTTGAGCTCAGGTAATTCACCTGCCTCAGCCTCCCAAAGTGCTGGGATTACAGGCGTAAACCACCGCACCCAGCCAAGAGTTTTTTATATACTCTGGTTACTAGACCCTTATCAGATATATGACTTGGAAATATTTTCTGCCAGTCTGTGGGTTGTCTTCTCACTTTCTTGATAGTCCTTTGATGCACAAAGTTGTAAATTTTGATCAACTCAATTGTATCTGTTTTTTCCTTTAGTGTTTTATGCTTCTGATATCCTATTTTGCATGTGGATATCCAGCACTATTTGTTATAGATTAACCTTTCTCCATTGAGTAGTCTTTTTTTTTTTTTTTTTTTTTTTTTTTTTTTTTGAGACAGAGTCTCACTCTATCGCCCAGGCTGGAGTGCAGTGGCACGATCTCTGCTCACTGCAAGCTCCGCCTCCCGGGTTCACGCCATTCTGCCTCAGCCTCCCCAGTAGCTGGGACTACAGGTGCCTGCCACCATGCCCGGCTAATTTTTTGTGTTTTTAGTAGAGATGGGGTTTCACCGTTTTAGCCAGGATGGTCTCGATCTCCTGACCTCGTGATGCACCTGCCTTGGCCTCCCAAAGTGCTGGGATTACAGGTGTGAGCCACCGCGCCCGGCCAGATAGTCTTAATACTCTTGTGGAAAGTCAGTTGACCACAGATGTTTAAGTTTATTTCTGGACTCTCAATTCTGTTCCATACATATATATGTCTATTCTCTACCAGTATGATATATTGTTTTGATTATTTAGCTTTTTGAATGCTCTACTTTTATTACTCCAAATGTGCTTCTGACTTTTAGTACATTTTAGTATATCATGATCATTATTTCATATTTTCCTTTTTTTGATGCAAGTACTTCTGTGTGGATCATTTGCATAATTAGCACACTTGCCATTTAAGGTAATTAAGAAGTGTTTGTTTTATTGCCTTACTGTGCTGTGGTTAGATTTTCCAGGCTCTTATTTTCTGAGTTGTTTTTTACTGTTTTAGAAAGACTTGTTTGCACTATTTCTTCTGGACCCAGACTCATTCACTACTGAGGCCCACTCCCTTGATGTCAAAGAATACTGGCTGCTGTTTTTAGTTCATCCTCACAGAAACTCAGGCTATACCTATCTGCTTCAGCTCAGTGCTGATACTTCCTGCCAGTTGTGGACTGAACTTCTGATGCAGAAAGCCTGCTAAGAAAACCTCTTCCTTGAACCAGAGCTTTCCAGAAGTCAAGAGTGGCACTGGCCTTATGATCTATGATATGCTTTGTTGTAAATTACAATCCCTGAGATGTCATACTGATGAGGAGACACATGGGAAAGAACCTGTCTTTTAAACCTCTTTCATGGTGCCAGAACAAGCATTTATAAGCACTGTTTCCATATGTACTGTACCCTCGTCTTTAGAAAGGAAGAGCCATCAGAAATTATGGGTCTTGTTCAGGGTCATCCAGTGATGTCAGAGTGCTGCCAGGAACAGAATTCATCCCCCACTCCCATGGATTCCTTTGTTGTTATCATTACCAAATGCTCCTTTCCTATTGGTCAACAGAAAATATATCTCAGTATTTTTTCCAAGGGAGGTTTTGAATTTCTTATTCCCTTTTGGGAAATCAAGATGATTTTCCTCTTCCCCAGTTGGATTCTGTACCCATTTCATTAAAGTCCGTGCTAGATTTAATTTTTTTTTTTTTTTTTTTGAGATGGAGTCTTGCTCTGTCACTAAGGCTGGAGTGCAGTGGCTCGATCTCAGCTCAGTGCAACCTCTGCCTCATGGGTTCAAGCGATTCTTGTGCCTCAGCCTCCCAAGTAGCTGGGATTACAGGCATGCACCATACACCTGGCTAATTTTTGTATTTTTGGTAGAGACGAGGTTTTGCCATGTTGGCCAGGCTGGTCTTGAACTCCTGACCTCAGGCGATCCACCCACCTCGGCCTACATAAGTGCCGGGATTACAGGTGTGAGCCAGTGCACCGGGCCTGATTTAATGTTTTATAACAAAACTCTCTAGTCTTTGTGCCTACTGAAAATTGTTATGAACTAAATGAGTTTAAATTTGCACAAGGTAGAATTTTGTTTCAGTGATGAAAGTAGATGGTTTCAGGTTGATTTCATTAACCCACTTTTTTCTGTTTTTTTTTTTTTTTGAGACAGAGTCTCACTCCTCTGTCACCCAGGCTGGAGTGCAGTGGCATACTCACGCCTCACTGCCGCCTCAACCTCCTGTGCTCAAGCGATTCTCCCACCTCACCCTCCCGAGTAGCTCAGACTACAGGTGAGTGCCACCATGCCCAGGTAATTTTTTTGTATTTTTTGTAGAGACAGGGTTTTGCCATGTTGTCCAGACTGGTCTCAAACTCCAGGCTCAAGCAATCCACTGGACTTGGCCTCCCAAAGTGCTGGGATTAAAGGCATGAGTGACCACACCTGGCCATTAACCCACATTTAAGATCCCAATTTCCAACTCTCCATTCCCCATTCCCCCAGCCCCTGGAAACCATCATTCTACTCTCTGACTCTATAGTATGAATTTGACTACTCGAGGTATGGCATATAAGTGGGATCATACAGTATTTGTTTTTTGTGACTGGCTAATTTTACTTAGCATAATGTCCTCAAGGTTTATCTATGTTGTAGCACGTGTCAGAATATCCTCCCTTTTTATTTGTATTTTTTTTATTCGAGACATGGTCTCACTCTGTCACCCAGGCTGGAGTGCAGTAGCACAATCTTAGCTCATTGCAACCTCTGCCTCAGCTATCCTCCTGCCTCAGCCTCCCAAGGAGCTAGGACCACAGGTGTGCACCACCACGTCTGGCTTTTTTTTTTTTTTTTTTTTTGAGATGGAGTCTCGCTCTGTCACCCAGGCTGGAGTGCAGTGGCGCGATTTTGGCTCATTGCAACCTCTGCCTCCCGGGTTCAAGCAATTCTTCTGCCTCAGCCTCCCAAGTAGCTGGGATTACAGGGGTGTGCCACCACACCCGGCTAATTTTTTATATTTTTGGTAGAGACGGGGTTTCATCATGTTGGCCGGGCTGTTCTCAAACTCCTCACCTAGTGATCCGCCTGCCTCAGCCCCCCAAAGTGCTGGGATTACAGGCCTGAGCCACTGCGCCCAGCCCACGTCCGGCTATTTTTTTGTATTTTTAGTAGAGGTGGGGCCTCGCCATGTTGCCCAGGCTGGTCTTGAACTCCTGAGCTCAAGCAGTCTGGTCACCTCTGCATCCCAAAGTGCTGGGATTACAGGCTTGAGCCACTGCACTCAGCCTTTCCGTCCTTTTTTTTTTTTTTTTTTTTTTTGAGAGGGAGTCTCACTCTGTCGCCCAGGATGGAGTGCAGTGGTGCGATCTCGGCTTACTGCAAGCTCCGCCTCCCGGGGAGGTTCAAGCGATTCTCATGCCTCAGCCTCCCGAGTAGCAGGGACTACAGGTGCCCGCCACCACGCCTGGCTAATTTTTTTTGTATTTTTAGTAGAGACGGGGTTTCACCGTGTTAGCCAGGATGATCTCCATCTCCTGACCTTGTGATCCACCCACCTCGGCCTCTCAAAGTGCTGGGATTACAGGCATGAGCCACTGTGCCTGGCCCTTTCCTTCCTTTTAAAGCTAATAATATGTCATTGTATACCATCTTTTGTTTATCCATTCACCCACTGATGGACACTTGGGTTGTTTCTACCTTTTGGCTATTGTGAATAATGTTGCTGTGAATATGGGTAGACAAATACCTCTTTGAGACCCTGTTTTCAATTCCTTTGAGTATATACCAGAACTAGAATGGCTGGATCATATGATAATTTGAATTTTAATTTTTTTAGAAACCACCATACCATTTTCCAGTAGTGGTACTATTTTACATTGCTACCAACAGTGCATAAAGGTTCCAATTTCTCCACATCCTCACCAACTCTTATGTTTTGATAATAGCCATCCTAATGGGTGTGTAGAAGTACAGTGAATATATATTTTAAAGAACCTTGAGTCATAACCCAACTCATATTTTCTGTACAGACCTTTTAAATAATTATAACATATTTGATGTGCATTCAATAAATTTTTATTGAATCCTGGCTACATTCCAGGATTCAAATATGAAATAGGCACAGTCCCTGCCCTCATGAATAACATAGATAAGGAGCCCCTATGAAATAACTTATAGCCATTGTACCCCTATCTAAAGGATCAGGACCATAAGCTCTAGCAACATATCTGAGAGAAGGGGACGGGAGAGAAAACATCCACAGCTTTGGTGTGTTCTGAACTCTTTAGGAATTTTGCATGGGCAAATCTGCTCAGTTTTCTCCCATAGCAAATAGGGTGTCCTGTGTGAAACTTGGCTACAGTGGTTATTGACTAAGTTGTTGAGAAAGAGATATATATTAGCTTTCCCTATGGAAATTTAAAAACATGCACAAAAGTAAAGAAAGTAATATAATAAATCACCAAATACCTGTCACCCAGTTTGTGGAATCATCAACACATACCCAGTCTTCTTTCATACCCACCCCCACTCACTCCCTCTTACCACTAGATTATTTTGAAACAAAGTCAGTATATTATTCAAGTTTTCATTTTCTACTTGTTCTTGATGCTGTTTCGCTTAGATACTGGGGTGTGTGCTCTAATTTTGACTTCTTTTAGCAGTCTTATTGTGTACAGTATTCTTTCTCTGAGAGAGAGTTTTGTTTTGTTTTGTTTTGTTTGTATTGATAGAATCACAGTGTTTTCCAGCCTTAAACTCTCTTTTGTCTCTCCCATTTCAGAGTCCCATGAACCTGCCACACATTTTCACTTTACTCAAGTCAAAGTGACTTGGACCTCCACTCACCAGCTCTCTTAGTTCATCTCTATAATGTATGAAGTTAGGGACTTTAGCAGTCTTCTTAATTATTCTACATACAGTGTCTAACCTGGTGCATAGTAGGTACTTAATAAATAGTTGTTGATGCCAAGGCAGATGGATCACGAGGTCAGGAGTTCAAGACTAGCCTGGCCAAGATGGTGAAACCCCATCTCTACTAAAAATACAAAAATCAGGCCAGGTGCGGTGGCTCACGCCTGTAATCCCAGCACTTTGGGAGGCCGAGGCGGGTGGATCACAAGGTCAGGAGATCGAGACCGTCCCGGCTAACACAGTGAAACCCCGTCTCTACTAAAAAATACAAAAAATTAGCTGGGCGTGGTGGTGGGCGCCTGTGGTCCCAGCTGCTTGGGAGGCTGAGGCAGGAGAATGGCGTGAACCCGGGGGGCAGAGCTTGCAGTGAGCCGAGATTGCGCCCCTGCACTCCAGCCTGGGTGACAGAGTGAGACTCCATCTCAAAAAAAAAAAAAAAAAAAATTAGCCAGGCGTGGTGGTAGGCCCCTGTAAATCCCAGCTACTCAGGAGACTGAGGCAGAGAATTGCTTGAACCTGGGAGGCGGAGGTTGCAGTGTGCCAAGATCGCACCACTACACCCCAGCCTGGGTGAGAGAGCGAGACTCTGTCTCAAAAAAAAAAAAAAAAAAGTTGTTGATGACTAAATGGATGAACTCCATTTGGGTTTCCGCTCATCTGAACCTCAGAATCAGCAGTTGTTTTAACAATACACTTGGTTCTCTCTAGATAGGTAGGTAGGTAGGTAGGTAGGTAGGTAGGTTGGTTCTCTCTAGATAGGTAGGTAGGTAGGTAGGTAGGTAGGTTGGTTCTCTCTAGATAGGTAGGTAGGTAGGTAGGTAGATAGATAGATACAGATACAGATACAGATGCAGATATAGATACAGATACAGATGCAGATATAGATATAGATTTTTTTTGAGACAAGGTCTTGCTCTGTCACCCAGGCTGGAGTGCAGTGGTGTGACTTCGGCTCACTGCAACCTCCACCTCCAGGGTTCAAGTGGTTTTTGTACCTCAGCCTCTGGAGTAGCTGGGTCTACAGGCGCATACCACCATGCTTGGCTAATTTTTGTATTTTTTGTAGAGACAGGGTTTCACTGTGTTGCCCAGGCGGGTCTCAAACTCCTGGCCTCAAGTGATCTGCCCAACTTGGCCTCCCAAAGTGCTGAGATTAAAAGTGTGAGCCACCACACCCAGCCGGTTCTCTGTAACTTAAATGAGGAGAAAATTACCTGGGCCTTGAGAAACAACTTTTATCCTGGACCTCTTTTGTCTAGCTGAAAAATCTAAATTTTTCTGGCTCCCCCTGCTGGTCGCTCCTGGGCAGTTGCGTACAAGTGCCCTGATAGGATTGGAGCCAGAGCCAAGTTTGGGAAGGGAAAACAAAGCATTGTTGGTAGAGTGCCCTGACCAGTCCAGGCAGGTTTGAGGAGGAGGAAAGCAGCTTGTTGAAAACAGTTCTGGGAAGTGCAGCTTTCTGTGTAAAGGGCAAGGAAGGTGGCCCACTGCCAGCCAAAATCAGGAGAGCAGGGATTGGGGCTACAGCTTCCTGGTCTGCAGCACTGTAGACCATGAGAATCGTGACCACACGAGCCCATAAGTGAGCTGGTCATTATGTGAGGATCAGACCCTATCTTGAGAATGGAGATGGGCTCCTTTTCTAAGACAAAGCAGTCTGGGGTCAGACATAGTCACCATGCAGGCATAGTACCTACAGTGTTTGTTTTATTTTGGTAAGAATGGTGGTGAATGTAGATGGGAGCATCCCCAGAGTTCACAGTCCTGCGTTGGCTACATGACCGTACTATCTCCCAGTTCTTAAGACCATTAACAACTCTGTGGAGCTCTGGGTGGAGCTTCTGCCAGGGCCTTCCTTCTCCACCCTCTGTAAAAACAATAAATTCCCCACACCTCTCATACCAGTCAGAATGGCTATTATTAAGAAGTCAAAAAATAACAGATGCTGGTGAGGTTGTAGAGAAAAAAGAACACTTTTACACTGTTGGTGGGAGTGTAAATTAGTTCAACCATTGTGGAAGACAGTGTGGCGATTCCTCAAAGACCTAGAAGCAGAAATACCATTTGACCCAGCAATGCCATTACTGAGTATATATCCAAAAGAATAGAAATCATTCTATTATAAAGATACATGCATACATGTATCTTTCATTTCATTGCAGCACTATTCACAGTAGCAAAGACATGGAACCAACCTAAATTCCCATCAGTGATAGACTTGATAAAGAAAATGTGGTACATATACATCATGGAATACTATGCAGTCATAAAAAGGAATGAGATCATGTCCTTTGCAGGGACATTGATGGAGCTGGAAGCCATTATCCTCAGCAAATTAATGCAAGAACAGAAAAACAAACACTACATGTTCTCACTTATAAGTGGCAACTGAATGATGAGAACACATGGACACACAGAGGGGAACAACACACACTGGGGCCTGTTGGACGGTGTGGCGGGGGAGGAAGGAGAGCATCAGGAAGAACAGCTAATGGATGCTGGGCTTAATACCTACGTGATGGGATAATCTGTGCAGCAAACCACCATGGCACACGTTTTTCTATGTAATCCTGCATATGTACCCCTGAACTTAAAAGTTGGAAAAAAAAAAAAGAAAAAAGAATTCCTCACACCTACCTACCCTCTAGATCACATTTCTCAGTTGTTTATATTTACTTGTCCTTTCCACAAAACTTCCCAGAAAGTGGACTGTGGCCAAATGAATCTCTCCAGACTCCAGCCAGCTGAGGGCATCAGGAAAAGGGTTAATGATGTCAAGACACCAAGGGCAGATCCCCTCCTCTTCTCTCCAATCCCAAGCCCCAAGCACCAGCATAATTCCACTTAAAGTTGAACGTAGAAAATGGGCATTTGTTTTACTTCAGAACAAAGGGGTAAGCACGTGACTTTCCCCAATACACAAGGAAGGGAAATGAATCCAGAAGAACCCCAGGGCATGAATATTACCATTAGACTTAGGTAAGTATAGCTGTGAAATGGTCATGGTAAAGAAATGTTTGGGGTAGGCACAGCAGCTCATGCCTGTAATCCCAGCATTATGGAAGGCCAAGGCAGGAGGATTGCTTGAGCCCAGGAGTTCAAGACCAGCCTAGGAAACATAGTGAGACCTCATCTCTACAAAAGTTTTTTTTTTAATTAGTCAAGTATGGTGGCACATGCCTATAGTCCCAGCTACTTGGGAGGCTGAGGTGGGAAGATCACTTGAGCCCAGGAGATGGTGATGGCAGTGAGCCATGATCACACCAGTACACTCCAGCCTGGGCAACAGGGCAAGACCCTGTCTCCAAAAAAAAAAGTCCAATGCCCACTCATGATAAAACTCTCAGTAAACTTCGTCAGCTTGATAAAGAATACCTACAAAACCTACAGCTAACATACTTAATAGTGAGAAACCAGAAGCTTTCTCACTAAGATCAGGAACAAGGCAACGGTGTGCCCTCTCATCACTTCTTTTCAACATTGTACTGGAAGTCCTAGCTAATGTAATAAGACAAGAAAAGGAAATAGAAGGTATACAGATTGGGGAGGAGGAAATCAAGCTGTCTTTGTTCACAGATGACATGACCATCTCTGTAGAAAATCTGAAAGATGAATGATGAAGCCTTGGGAGATGTTAAAAAAGAAAAAAGAAAGGAGGACAGGACAGGAAAGGAAAAAGGAAAGGGAAGTGGGGAGGGGAAGGGGAAGGAAGGGAAAGGAAAGATCTGAAAGAATTGACAGAAAAACTCCTGGAACTAATAAGTGATTACATCAATGTTTCAGGTTATAAGGTCAATATACAAAACTCAATTGTCTACCTATATACCAGCAATGAATTAGTGGAATTTGAAATAAAAAACACATTTATATTACCACCCCACAAAATTTGTATAAACCTAACAAAATATGTACAAGATCTGTATGAAAAAAACTACAAAACTCTGATGAACAAAATCAAAAAAGAATTAAATGGAGATATATTCCATGGTACATGCATAGGAAGACTCAATATTGTCAAGATGTCCGTTCTTCCCAACTTGATCTATAGATCAAAGCAATCCCAATCAAAATCCCAGAAGTTATTTTGTGGATATCAACAAATTGATTCTAAAAGTTTATACAGAGAGGCAAAATTGAAGGAGAAGAATGAAGTTAGAAGACTGACACTACCTGACTTTGAGACTTATAAAGCTACAGTAATGAAGGCAGTGTGATATTTGTGAAAGGATAGACAAATAGATCAATTGAACAGAATGGAGAGGCCAGAAATAGACCCACATAAATATAGTGGAAGGAATAAATATAGTGGAAGGAAGCAAAGGCAGTACAATGGAGCAAAGATAATTTTTTCAACAAATGGTGCTGGAACAACTGGACATCCACATGCAAAAAATTAATCTAGACACACACCTTACACTCTGAGAGGATAACAGAAGAAAACCTTGGATATGGTTATTATTTTTTCGGTACAACACTCAAAGGCATGATCCATGAAATAAATAACTGACAATCTAGACTTCATTAAAATTAAAAATTTCTCTTCTGTGAAAGACCATGTCACAAGAATGAGAAGATGATGGCTGGGCACAGTGGCTCATGCCTGTAATCCCAGCACTTTGGGAGGCCGAGGTGGGCGGATCACGAGGTCAGGAAATCGAGACCATCCTGGCTAACATGGTGAAACCCCGTCTCTACTAAAAAAAAAAAAATACAAAAATTAGCCGGCCGTGGTGGCAGGCGCCTGTAGTCCCAGCTACTTGGGAGGCTGAGGCAGGAGAATGGCGTGAACCCAGGAGGCGGAGCTGGTAGTGAGCCAAGATCACGCCACTGCACTCCAGCCTAGGTGACAGAGCAAGACTCCGTCTCAAAAAACAAAAAAAAAGAATGAGAAGATGAGCATAAGCATGTACTGGAGAAAATATTTGCAAAAGACACATCTGATAAAGGACTGTTATCCAAAATATGCATAAGCACTCTTAAAACTCAACAATAGGCCAGGCATAGTGGCTCACGCCTGTAATCCCAGCACTTTGGGAGGCCGAGGTGGGCGGATCACGAGGTCAAGACATAGAGACCATCCTGGCCAACATGGTGAAACCCCATCTCTACTAAAAATACAAAAACTAGCTGGGCGTGGTGGCGCACGCCTGTATTCCCAGCTACTCAGGAGGCTGAGGCAGGAGAATCACTTGAACCCAGGAGGCAGAGGTTGCAGTGAGCCGAGATCACGCCACCGCACTCCAGCCTGGCAACAGAGTGAGACTCCATCTCTAAATAAATAAACAAACAAAATAAAACAATGCATTTTAAAAATGGACCAAAGACCTTAACAACACCTCACCAAAGAAGATATACAGATGGCATATAAGCATATGAAAAGATGCTGCACATCATATGTTATCAGAGAAATGCAAATTTAAACAACGATTAGATACTACTACGCATTTATCAGAATGGCCAAAATCCAGACAACAAATGCTGACAAGGATGTGGAGCAACAGGAACTTTCATTCATTGCTGGTAGGAATGCAAAATTGATGGTAGAGCCATTTTGGAGAACAGTTTGGCATTTTCTTACAAAACTAAACATACTCTTACCATGTGATTCAGCAATCACAGTCCTTGATATTTTCACAAACGAGTTGAAAACTTAAGTCCACACAACAACCTCCACACACAGGTTTACAGCAGCTTTATTCATAATTGCCAAAACTTGGAAGCAATCAAGATGTCCTTCAGTAGGTAAATAAATGAATATACTGTGGTACATCCAAACAATGAAATATTATTCACTGCCAAAAGGAAATGAGCTATCAGGCCGCATGTGGTGGCCCACGCCTATAATCCCAATACTTTGGGAAGCTGAGGTGGGAGGATTGCATGCGAGCCCCCAGGAGTTTGAGACCAGCCTGGACAACATAATGAGACCTCATCTCTACCAAAAAAAAAAAAAAAAAAAGGCCGGGCGCAGTGGCTCACGCCTGTAATCCCAGCACTTTGGGAGGCCAAGGCGGGCGGATCACGAGGTCAGGAGATCGAGACAATCCTGGCTAACACGGTGAAACCCCGTCTCTACTAAAAATTAAAATTTTAAAAAAATTAGCTGGGCATGGTGGCGGGCACCTGTAGTCCCAGCTACTCAGGAGGCTGAGGCAGGAGAATGGTGTGAACCCAGGAGGCAGAGCTTTCAGTGAGCCGAGATCGCGCCACTGCACTCCAGCCTGGGCAACAGAGCGAGACTCTGTCTCAAAAAAAAAAACAAAAACAAAAACAAAAATTAGCCAGGTATGGTTGTGTACCTGTGGTTCCAGCTGTTTAGGAGGTGGAGACGGGAGGATCAGTTGACCCTGGGAGGTTAAGGCTGCAGTGAGGCAGTGAGCTTTGAAGGGAACCTTGAGATGGATTTTTTTTTTGAGACGGAGTCTTGCTCTGCTGCCCAGGCTGAGTCCAGTTGTGTGATCTTGGCTAACTACAACCTCCACCTCCTGGGTTCAAGCGATTCTCCTGCCTCAGCCTACTGAGTAGCTGGGATTACAGGTGCACGCTATCATGCCCAGCTAGTTGTTGTGTTTTTTTTTGTATTTTTAGTAGAGACGGGATTTCACCATGTTGGCCAGGCTGGTCTCGACTCCTGACCTCAAGTGATCCACCCGCCTCAGCCTCCTAAAGTGCTGGGATTACAGGCGTGAGCCACTGTACCCAGCCGAGATGGACATTTTTAAATGAATATTTTTATGTGTAAACATTTTAAATGAATCTTAAATACAAGTTGGAGACTGTTCTAATTCCTGAAAGCAGCTGAGTCTATGGCAGCCATCATGAAGCTACCCACTGGAAAAGAGGAACTTGACATGGTGTTACTGAGGATGGCTAGTGAAAATCACTAAAAATGCTTACATTTATGTAGGATGAGACACCCCAATAAATCTGTTGCAACTGCATTCCCTTCCAGTCTTTTTTCTATGCGTCTTTTTATTTGATTGATTGATTGATTGAGACGGGGTCTCCCTCTGTTACCCAGGGTGGAATGCAGTGGCACAATCTCGGCTCACTGCAACCTCCACCTCCCAGGCTCCTGAGTAGCTGGGACTACAGGTGCACACCACCATGCCAGGCTAATTTTTGTATTTTTGTAGAGATGGGGTTTTGCCATGTTGCCCAGGCTGGTCTCAAACTCCTGGACTCAAGTGATCCGCCCACCTTGGCCTCCCAAAGTGCTGGGATTACAGGTGTGAACCACCGCACCTGGCCTTTCATGCATCTTTTTAAACATTGTTCAGGTCTTACCACCTAGGCAATTTTGTTCCTTTAAAACCTGCTGTTTTCTCATAACCACTTTTTATTTATTTATTGAGGCAAGATCTCACTCTGTCACCCAGGCTGTAGTGTAGTGGCATGATCACAGCTCACTGCAGCTTTAACCTCCTGGGCTTAAGCAATCCTCCCACCTCAGCCTTCCAAGTAGCTGGAACTACAGATGCATGCCACCACACCTGGCTAATTTTTTGTATATTTTTTGTAGAGATGAGGTCTCACTATGTTGCCCAGGCTGAGCCTCATTTCTTACCTATGAAGTGGAGATGACTCTACCGTTCATGGTCATGAGGATTAGAAGTGTGCTCAATAAATGGTAGTTGTTAATATTATAATGAGAAGATAAAGATTGCTATCTAAAAAGCTGGCTGCAGTATTCCTCTTAGGAAATTGTCTTTTTTCAGGAAGTACCTTGATAATCTGTTTGGACATGAAAGGTGAATCCCTGTTCCTCCTTATCCCCACTCAACATAGTTCATAATTAGAAAAAGAAAGATCTCGACTGGGCACAGTGGCCCACACCTGTAATCCCAGCACTTTAGGAGGCCAAGGTGAGCAGATCACTTGAGCTCAGGAGTTCAAGACCAGCCTAGGCAACATGGCGAAAGCCTGTCTCTACCAAAAATGAAAGAAATTAGAAATTAGCCAGGTGTGACGGTGCACACCTGTGGTCGTCCCAGCTATTTGGGGGGCTGGGGTAGGAGGATCACTTGAGCCCAGGACGTTGAGGCTGCAGTGACGAGATCACACCACGCAACTCCAGCCTGGGTAACAGAGACCCTGTCTCAAAAAAAAAAAAGGAAAAAGAAAAAATCTAAGTAACCTGCAAAATACAGTGAGAATTGTGTGTCTCTGGGGAGGGGATGGGGATAAGCCCAGGATGAAGGAATTGAGGGGGCCAAGGAAGTAGGACAGGTGGCTGGGGAGATTGAGAATGAGCAGCCACCTGAGGGCAGCTGAGGGTACTGAGGAACAGCCTCACCAGGGAGATGTTTCCTGTGGCAGGTATGAAGGGACTGGACTGTCAGTGCGTTTTATGTGCTGGCTATGACTTAGTCTCTGTTGTCCCCAAATCAGGGTGAACATCAGAGCACCTACTGATTTTGAAAAAAAATGAAGGAAAAGCCCTAGGTTCCATGTCTGGGCTGATGCCAGTGGAGAGAGGGACCATTTAAACATTTTTTTTTTTTTTTAGAAACAGGGACTTGGTATGTTGCCCAGGCTGGACTGGGCTTAAGCCATCCTCCTGCCTTAGCCTCCTGAGTAGCTGGGACTACAGTCATGTGCTACTGCACCTTGCTTGAGAAGGGACCTTTTTTTTTTTTGAGACGGAGTCTCACTCTTTCGCCCAGGATGGAGTGCAATGGCACAATCCCGGCTCACTGTAACCTCTGCCTCCCAGGTTCAAGTGATTTCCCTGCCTCAGCCTCCCAAGTAGCTGGGATTACAGGTGTGTGCTACCACACCTGGCTAATTTTGTATTTTTAGTAGAGACAGGGTTTCACCATGTTTGGAGATGTTGGAGGAGATGCCTCCCACCCTTTATGGAATGGGGCCAAAGCCATTCTAACTTCAGTATTAATGAGAAGGATGATCCCATACAGCAGGAGGTGTGGAGGGCAGATGCTCAGGCTGACATTAAACAACAGTCTGAGGAAATGTGAAACGGGCAGGGAATATGGCTTCCATAGGCATGGCCTACTTGGGGTTCTCAGGTGCCTCGTTTGTTTACACAGTTGAAAGCATTTTAAAATATTCTCAGGACCTGTAGTGGGGTGAGCCCTGGGAAGAGGCCCCATGTAATGAGGATGTCCACCTCTCCTGCATTCCCACCCAATGCTCTGGCTTGGCCTTTCCTCCTGAGCTCTGGCCCTGGGCATGCAAGAGGGTTGTGAGGTATGGGGCTGTGTTATTGGGAAAGGCAGCCTCGAGTGAGGGAAGGTAACATCATTTTATCCTGTGTTCATCCTGGTGTCCAGCCTCAGTATGCTTCCCACCAAACTGGCCTCCATGTTAGAACATGGTCTATCCTGCCCCCGGGGCTCTTCACAGTCCGATGGCTGGCCAGCATTTTCCAGCAGCTTCTACAGTCTGAAAGGGCCCTTTGTCTCCCTTGGTGACATGAAGAGGTTTGTCACTTCAAATGTCAGCTGTTACTTGGACTTGAAGGGCAAGTTTGCCCATGTCCGCCTGTGAGCACCCTGCCCCCCTCCCTACATGTCCCAGTCCTAGTGTGCTCCAGGGTCCTACTCTAATGCCACCTGGCCAGCATCTTAGACCAGGACGGCATCCCATCTTTCTCCACAGCACCAGAGCATGTATTTTCCATCACTTCCCATGCCTCATTCTCTCTTGTGTTATAGACACTTATTTATGTGTATGTCCCATGTCCTGTGCTACTTTATGCTAAAGCTCCTTGAGGACAGGAATTAAGTCTCTCTTAGCACACTCAGAATATCTGTTGAATGAATTAGTGGCTGCCAAGTGCCAGGAACTATTATTCTAGGCAATGGGAATACAGAGATGAATTATCTTTGCCTGATCCCCATTGGCAAAGAAATCTGGTCTCATGTGGGGAGATAGATCCCTAAAAAGATGATGCAAAAGTGGAAATATGTGCAAAACAGGGAGGTGGCACAAAGTATCACATCCATCATGATGGAGTCCTGGGCTCCCTGGTCAGACAGTTCTGAATTCAAGTCCTGGCTCTGCCACTTCACAGCTATGTGACATTGGCAGTTGCTTCTCTGGGACTCCATGAGAACAAAATAATACCTACAGCATAGGGTTGTTGATGTATGTAAGACCCCTGTCATGGTGCTTAGCACATGGTAGTGATGTAATACACATAAGCTGTCTTGCGGAGGGGGCAGGAAAAGCTTTGTAGGCAAGGGGCAATCTGAACTGAGCTTCTGAAAAAGAGTTCCTTAGATAGACAAGAGATAAGTATTTTAGAGGCAGAGGAAACTTCACAAATAAACAATAGTTTATCATCATCCAAAGAAAAGCTTTGAAAAATGAAACACAAGCCCCACAGCTCATGGAGTTTGTGCTGCTTAACATGGACTCCAAAACATTCAGCAGCTTCAGGGCACAGATTTTGACTTGGAAGGAGGGAGGGAGATGTTAATAATCTCGAAGTCCCTCTTCATTGCTGCCACAGGCTCTGACCTCTGCCTGGTATGGACTGGCCATGGGGTAGGGTGCCAGATTTTGGAGGGCAGAAGACTTCCCTGAAGGAAAAATAAGTTATTTTTTTGGTATGCCCATTCACAGTGATACAAAGAAGTTTTATTTCAGAGGCTCCTACCTCTGCACTGCCCTGTCCTTAAAGGAAACTTGTTTTGTTAGGATGGATTAGTCTCTTAGATAAATATTTGGTATTTCCTTTCACAGCAGTTTAGCAAGAGATGCAAATCCAGACATTAATCATTCTGCCCTTCTCCTACCTTCCCCCAGTGAAAATCATTTCACACCATCTACCAGTCGTCCTCCACTCTTGGAGAGGTGCAGAGTAGGGTACGCAGCCTTGGGAGAGAGACTGAGAGGTAGAGTTTGTAAGGAGTAGAATTCTGGAGACACTGCTGCCAGGTGCTAAGCAGCCAGGCACAATTATGTAAACTGGAGGGAATCCCGCCAGCCTTCCTCCTCCAATGGACAGGAGGGATTTGTGAGACGCTAGTGATACTTCTGGGTAAGTTTTAGGTACCTTTAGAGTGAGTGCTGATCATTGTCACTCAAGGTAAGAGAGGGCATGGCTGTGGAATTTCCTCCTTCAAGAGGCACTTGTGAGCTGGGCACCATGGCTCACGCCTGTAATCCCAGCACTTTGGGAGGCCAAGGCGGGCAGATCACTTGAGGCCAGGAGTTTGAGACCAGCCTTACCAATATGGTGAAACCTTGTCTCTACAAAAAATACAAAAAAATAATTAGCCAGGTGTGGTGGCGTGTGCCTGTAATCCCAGCTACTTGAGAGGCTGAGGCAGGAGAATCGCTTGAACCCGGGAGGTGGAGGTGAGCCGAGATAGCACCACTGCAGCCTAGGTGACAGAGTGAGACTCTGTCTAAAAAAAAAACACCAAAAAACAAAAAACCAGAAACTATCACTGGGAGCTTAGGAGTAAAGTCTGAGGACAAGGCAGACCTCAGTTTGAATCCTGACTCTTCCACTTACTATGTGACCCAGGGGAGTTCCTCCATCCCTCTGAGCCTGTTTCCTGCAAGAGGGGGATGATAATAGAATAATGAAACCAACCTTATAGGTTGTGCAGGGGATTAGCTCATGATGATGGTTTCTTTTGGTCTCCACAAAAGACCTGATCAGGAAACAGGCTCAGAGATTTAGGGATTTCCCCAAGGTTGGCAGAGAGCAGATGATGGAGCCGAATAGCCAAAGCTCAGGTGGTTCTTCCTTTTTTTTTTTTTTTTTTTTTTTAGCGTTAGGGCCTCACTCTGTTACCCAGGCTTGAATGCAGTGGCGTGATCATAGCTCACTGTGACCTTGAACACCTGGGCTCAAGCGATCCTCTTGCCTTAGCCTCCTGAGTAGCTAGGACTACAAGCGGGCACCACCATGTGCAGCTGTTCTTCATTTTTTGTAGAGATGGAGTCTTCCTATGTGGCCCAGGCTGGTCTCAAACCCCTGGCCTCAAGTGATCCTCCTGCCTTAGCCTCCCAAAGCTTAGGCTGCCAAGGGAGCAGTGCTTTGGAAGATGCAACAGCCTGCTTGCTCTGTTGTTCCCCTCCTGCCATGTGACAGATACTCCTTTCTAATACCTGTGGTCCCTACCTGTCCATGGACATGCTCACAGGTCTCCAGGGAGCAGAACTAAAATGCGTTCAGGAGCTCGGGCTGGCCCAGTCAAGTCCTTGGTTCAAGGCCAGGTTCTCTTAACACTCAGTGGGTGTGACCAGATTCTGTGGTGGTCACAAAGCTACGTGTCCACAGGGCCTCCACATTCTAGGGTCACCCTTTCCTTTGATACTCACATCTAATGGCCTAAGCCTCTATTCCACACAGTCTGCAAAGCCCAGCAGCTTACCAAGGATTTTGTGTAAATGGCTTAGAATTGTTTTTTAAAAAATTCAGCTGAGAGTCTTTACCTTTACACCAGAACAATGTAATTCTAGGCAGGGTGCAGTGGCTCACGCCTGTAATCCCAGCACTTTGGGAGGCCCAGGCAGGCAGATCACCTGAGGTCAGGAGTTCGAGACCAGCCTGGCCAATGTGGTGAAACCCCGTCTCTACTAAAAATACAAAAATTAGCCAGGCATTGTGGTGCATGCCTTTAATCCCAGTTACTCCAGTTACTCAGGAGGCTGAGGCAGGAGAATTGCTTGGACCTGGGAGGCGGAGGTTGCAGTGAGCCGAGATCACACCACTGCACTCCAGCCTGGGCAACAAGAGCAAAACTCCGTCTCAAAAAAACAAAAAATAATGTAATTCTGATACCAATGTGGGTCTAAAAATTTTTGTGCTGTTTGTTCCCCTAGGTCTGTTTTTCTCTCCTTTACCATTGTTTTGTTTTCTTCTTGCTTGGAGGTTAAATGCTGTCTCTATCCTTTTAGGGGTTTCCCTCTTCCCTGAGATTTCTCAAGATGCCCAGGGTGCCTTAAGTCTGCCTGTCCCTTCTTGTTCCTCATTCTTATTCCTATTAATTCTCCATCGTGCTTACTTCTTGCCTCCTGTTTGTTGTTCTTTCCCTCTTTTCTTCATACATTCACCATTAACGGTGCACCAACCTTTTACTTAACATCAGGTAGATAACATGGTGGGGGAGACAAGTTGCTGAGCTTCTTAGAGCCCCTTGGCCATGAGGAGTCCCTGCCCACATCCCTCCTCAGGTGCTAGCTGGGTAGGCTGTGTCAGATCCCCTCTATAAGCCTTCCCTCCCAGAGCCCCAACCCCACTTCACACCTCCCTGGTCCACCCTACTCACCCTCCTGCTGTCACTGTCCCCTCACCTTGCCCAGTTCTTCTCCTTGTATTTCTCATTATCTGAACTCATATTTAAGTTGTCTGTCTATCCCATTAAGCCTCACAGTGGTGTCTTGTTCACCACCATATCTCAAGAGCATGAAACCATGCCTGGCACACAAGCAGTGAAGACAAGCAGTGGATATTTGTTGAACACATGGGTGAATTCTGGCATTCTAAGTCTTCAGTGGGACCATCTACCTGTCAATCCCAGTGGAACTGGTGCAATGAAGTGGAAAAGGGGTCTCCTGGGATCCCACTCCCACCCCAGGTGCTGGGGTATGGACTGCCCACCTCTGGGTCCCAAAGACCCCCACAGCTGAAAAACTGGACTCAAGGGAGCAGATAGAGTAATGTACTAACATTTTTAATACAGTCTGATCAGATCAATTCACATCACAAGGTCAACCTGGGCTTGCTCACATGTGACACAACTGAGGTACACAATGTCCCTACCTGCCGGCTGTCCCACCTTCCTGGTTCCCAACAGCATTGAAACCCCCTACTTCCCTGACCAGACTGGCATTTTTTAAAATTTTGCATAAAACTATTTCTTCCATAGACTTCAAACAATCAACTAGCCAAGTTAATTATGGTACATCTAAACAAAGTTTAATACTAACCCTAATGTGTGACTGCGGTTTACAAAGAGCTCTGTATCACCTGGGATAGCTTTCAGTAGCAATTCACTACAACTGGTCCTAAAAAATAATAACAATAATAATAATAATTAGAGAATTAAAACCCAACAGCATGTTGAATGGTTAAAATCACGTAAGAACTGAAATTTGGGGTGGGGGTGTCCTCAACAGCTGAGCTTGTCCTAGCAGTGAAAATGCTCGCCTCCAAGCAGGGCTCAGAAAGGTCTGGAGCCCTCCAGGCAGAGGGCTGAGCTCAGGGGGCTCTTGGAGGACACTCACCCCATGGTCCATGGGATGCTTCTGGCTTCCTTAAAAACAGTTGGGCATCCGCATTGTATAAGTAGGTGGAGACCCTAGTGTGGTTCTTTTGAAGGATATGGGAAGGGAGGATGACGAACTAGAGAAGTGGGAGGGGACCAAAATCACTGAGGTCCCAGAATATCATAGATTTGGGTATAGGATTGGGGTCACTAAGAATTGAGCACCAGGAATTCCAGCTTCTTCCCATTAAAGAAACTGGGACTGGTTTTGCCTTGGAGGCCTATGTAGTGTTTTCTGCCCCTGTCCCATACCAAGTCTCATTGATATTTCTGCAGAATATCAGATGAAAATCTATTTCTAAAGACCATTGGGAGAATGGGTGGTGGAGAAGGAGTTGGAGTGGGGTTGGGGGGCAGTTAAAAATGAATAAAAATCTCTCAGCTACAGAACCCAAACATCACTTCCCTCCGCATTCACAGCATTTCCCAGCAGTCCCCAGATGGTTGTTTCCGTGGGGACACAGCAGCTGCCTCATTTCCCTTCAGGCCCCATGGGCTGCTGGTCAACCTCAGGATCTACTAAAGATGACGCAAATGCCGACTGAACAATCTGAAACCCAAAGGACTCGAGGAGAGACATGTTCTGCTGAGGAGAGAAAGGTGAGCCAAGGGCAGGGCCCAGGTCCCCCAGGGGGCCCCCGAGAGCCCGGACATGCACCTTCTGGATGTGTTTGTTCAAGTAGGACTTAGAGCGGAAGAA
Organism: Homo sapiens; assembly: GCF_000001405.40. Classification (NCBI taxonomy): domain Eukaryota; kingdom Metazoa; phylum Chordata; class Mammalia; order Primates; family Hominidae; genus Homo; species Homo sapiens. The sequence continues at coordinate 31,327,119 of NC_000022.11, forward strand.
GCTCCCACATTCAGGGCATGGGTACTTCTTCTCCCCATCAGACTCCATTTTGTTTTTGGGGACTGCCATGTCGCAGGAGAAAGAGCCATTGGCACTCTGCTTCTCTGGCGTCTTCAGGTCGCTGGCATCTGAGAGGTCACCATAGGAGTCAGAGCTCTCAATCGGATCCTGATGTGAGCATTTCTGGCCTTCTACGAAAAAACAAAATATAGGAGAGCGATGAGGCCAGGCTCTGGAGATGCCCCCTCCTGGAGGGGTCATGAGGGGCCAGCTCACAGACCTGTGGAGGGCAGCCATTGGCCAGCCACTGCCCTGGCAGAACCCACGGAGGGTCAGCTGGTCAGTCTGGGAGCCTGGAGTGCCTACAGGGGTGAAACGGCAGGGCCCTAGGGCTGCCAGCCTCCCTTGCTGTGGACTCTTCATGCAGCTGCACATGTACTGCTCACCGTCATCTCAGCCTGCTTCAAGGAAGGGATACAGAGAGGGCAACTCTGCTACAGCTGCCCAGAACAACTCAAAGACCCCCAACTCCTAGGCGCTCTTTTGGGTGCCTCTGAGGGTAAAATTGGTATTCTGATGATGCCGAGCCAGTGTAATAGTAGCCTCGCCTCCTGCACCAGACTAGCTGCACCCTAGCAAGACAGGCAGAACCAGAGCCATTAGGTCCTCAACCTGGGTAGACCCCATCAATGGCTCAGACAGAAGCCAATCCTTTTCCTAATGCTGCAAACATAGCCCTGTCCTTACCGCCTTCCTTCTGCCAAAACCTTTTCAGGGCCAAGCAGCCCAAGCACAGAGATTGAAAGCAACTCTGTACTACTCAGTCGGCTGGGTGTCCCCACCCTAGGCCCCAGACAAGCTGGGCCAAGAGACAACCCTGGCTGCTCTGCCTTGCCCGGCCCACACTGGAGTCCTCCACCAATCAGCAGCTTCCTGCCTGGGTCCAGAGAGCCATGCCGGGAAGGGAGGTCTGTGATGGGAGCATGGAGCATGCCATCTCTGCTGTTTCTACCATCTGCCAAGCCCCTGGCCTCATCCCCAAGGCAACGACAACGTGACATACCACAAAACAACCTGAATCAACAAGTGAAGGTGGGCCTGGGGAGCTTTCTGCAAACCAACTCCCAAGTCAGAGGAGTCAGATAGCTCATTATTGCCATGCATCTCACAACCATAGCCAGAGGCTCTCCAGAAAGGGCCACTCACAGTAACCAACCACTCCTACTGTGAGAGAAGCCAGACATTGGCTCCCACCGGCCCACTGGGTCAAAAGAGGAGAAAGCATTCAGCCGCAGCTCCACACCATCCTAAAGGGCAGCAGGCAGTGACAGGCCCATAGTGACTCATCATGCAGGGCTCTTCTTCTGCCCAGGGCCCGGGGCATCCCTGCAGGGCTCCAGACAGTGGGGGCTGGCCAGGAGGAAAGGAGGAGGGCTGGGGAAGAGGAGGCGGAGGCTGGATCTCGGCAGTGCCCTAAAGCCTCACTCACTGCCCTGGAGTGAGATACCCACTGTGACTTTTGTCCTGGAGGCCACTGCCACTCAGATCTCTGAGTCTCCTCAAGGCAGCCAGAAAGCCGGCAGCCTTCCCGCCTCCCCACGCCCAGCCCAGCGCCCCCACAACACAGTCTGCGCAGAGAAGCAAAGTGCAGAGCAAGGGGTCGCTTGCCTTTGTTGCCATAGGTCCTGGCGCAGTGGAACGCTGCTCCCCCATTCAGGATGGGCTCCTGGTGCCTGGAGACCTGGGGAAGGGGAACACCGTGGTGGGTTTTAACATGGACCTTTAAGTAGGAGGCAGAGGAGAAACCTAAACAAGACAAAAGGAGATGAGATCCCGCGGCCAGCAAGAGATACCTCTCTCCTTCCCCCAACTCCTCTCCTCTGGCCGCTCTGGCTAGCATTCCCAGGTCAGCTGCACCTAGAAGGGGCCCCCTCCTGGCTCAAAAATGGCTGCAACCACATGAGCCATGTGACTCAGGATGGAGGGTGGCACTGTCCACAAATCGGCTTCTCTGCAGAGCCCACTCTGCAAGGCTGCGGTGAGGGGCTGAGGCTGGCTGCCTGGTGGGATGGCCTGAGATCCTGCTCCTGCTAGGGCCAGAGGCCAACTGCCTCTAGGGTTGCTTGGTGCCTCAGTAACAGGTGGTTTGAGTGGATGTCTCCTGCAGGAACCATGACTAGAAATGTGGTTAGACAAGAATTTGAGGCTCCAGGGAAGCCACAGGATTCTAGCCAGCAGGATGCCTGCTTAATCCTCGTAAAAGGAAACTGGACAACAAACGAGATGGAGGTAAAATGAAATCCCAAAGGAACGCCTCCAAGGATCCCGTCTTCTACCTGTCAGGAGATGTTCTATTTTTCTAACTTCCCCACCTTCAGCATAACAGGATTTAGTAACTGTTTAGACCTTTTGAAGAACAAAGACAAAAATAGGAAGTTGTGTCAGAGGAGTGCAGTCATCTCTTATTCATGGTAGTGTTTTGGTTCGATTTTGGAGCATCCACCAGGTTCGCGTACAGGAGAAGAAACACGGATGATCTCTGTCTTTATTTTGGGGGAGGACAATCCGGCCTTCTTGGGACTGTTCCAGCCCACCTCCCAGATGCTTCGGTCAGTCTGATCCACGAGATATCTCAGGCTGGGAAGAACACATCTTGGGCCAACTTCCACAGCAGCCATGCGTCCAAGGATACAGAATCAGGCAGGCCGATAAAAGGATTTTGACTTGGGTTTCACAGGAAGGAGGTATGCCATCAAACCCCACTGTAGTCAAGGATCAGAAGGTGCTTTTAGCAGGAACTGAAGCTTTTTAGTATAAGGCCCACTTAGGGTGCCAGCACCCTGACAGTGTCCCTTTAATCCACTTCAGATCTGGTTGACTCATCATCAGGTGTTTCCATTCACTTTCAAAATTACACAGTCACAGGATAACAGTGAGATCCACTGCTAAAGGGTAAAGGGTCAGAGGCTGAAGAGTACTGTGTAATGTCTGCATGAGATTTGTTTTAAAAAAGTCTGAATTGGCATGGTATTTTGAATGCTGCTGGAACTGTAATAAAGGTTCACCTTTAGGAAGTGCTGATGGCACACCAGGGCCCAGCACACCGCATGCACTATTCTATAGAATTTGCCCAACACCCTTTGTGCTACAGATTACTATTATACCCATTTTACAGATAAAGAAATAAGAGGCTTTGTGAGGTTAGGGAGGCTGAGGTGGGCAGATCACGAGGTCAGGAGATCGAGACCATCCTGGCTAACACAGTGAAACCCCGTCTCTACTAAAAATATAAAAAATTAGCTGGGCGTGGTAGCAGGCACCTGTAAGCTGAGATCATGCCACTGCGCTCCAGCCTGGGCAACAGAGCGAGACTCCGTCTCAAAAAAAAAAGAGGCTTGGTGAGGTTAAGTAACCTGGTCACACGTACAGCTACTGAGTGGCAGAGCCTGGACTCCAACCCCAGGATCATGTGCCACCAGAACTTGGCCCTTAGCTACTGGGCAGATGCTTTAACCCACTTATGCCTCATGTTCCATTATTGGGACGCTAACCTTTTAGGAATTATTTGTATCCTACTGCTCAAGATCATCATTAAAGTCTGATTTTTCACAAAAAAGTTTGTAACCTCCAGCATAAATGGGTTAATTGGTTCCTGTGTCTTAGCCCTGAGCCCTAGAAATATCCAGTGGACTTTTACAATAGGTTTCATTATTACCATTTACACTCATGTATTTTTCGACCATAATGGTATGTTAGAATGGAAGCTGCTGGAAAAACAGGGCTGGCCTGTGGGAACTTTATTTAACAAGTTCTCCTCTGACAGCAGCAGTTAGTGGTTCTGAAGGGAAATGTGGGATTGGGCCAATTTTCCTTCCTTTCCCAATACAGCTACTTCAAAGATCTGTCTAGACCAGGTGCTGGTGTCCTGCCCTGCCTGGTAGAGCAAGTTGTCCTGTGCTATGACCGCAGTGGTCTGCCTGAGGCTGATCATGGGTATAGATTGGTGTAAGAGGGTCCCATGTAGACATCCCTAAGAGGGAGGCTGTAGTCAGGAGTGAGGAGACAAGGCTAATGGGAAAGAGGCTGTTAGCCCTGCCCCTTGGGGTGGTACTGTAGAGTCCCCTAAAACAAAGCAGAACCAGGAGACATTGGCTCCCACCAATCAGTACAAGATATTAGAACTTTCTGATAATATGATGATACCACTTTAGAAGGTAATTTTTTCCTTTTTTTTTTTTTTTGAGACAGAGTCTCACTCTCGCTCAGGCTGGAGTGCAGTGGCACCATCTCGGCTCACTGCAAGCTCCGCCTCCAGGGTTCATGCCATTCTCCTGCCTCAGCCTCCCTGGTAGCTGGGACTACAGGCGCCCGCCACCATACCTGGCTAATTTTTTTTGTATTTTTAGTAGAGACGGGGTTTCACCATGTTAGCCAGGATGGTCTCGGATCTCCTGACTTCGCGATCCACCCGCCTCGGCCTCCCAAAGTGCTGGGATTACAGGCGTGAGCCACCGTGCCCGGCCTTTCCTTAGTTTTTTAATCCCTTGTGGGGTCTCTAAAATAGCATGAAGCTCTCTCCCTGTGATGAACCAGAGCAGGTCCACTGCAATCAAAAGGGGACAGAAAGGAGCGGGAGAGCACCAGGAATTATTATGTTTACTCCTTACTGGGAGAGCTATACCAAGAGAACACAGCAGATGCTCAATAAAAACTTGCTGAGTTTGGCTGGGCGCAGTGGCTCATGCACTTTGGGAGGCCGAGGCAGGCAGATCACCTGAGGTTGGGAGTTCCGGACCAGCCTGACCAACATGGAGAAACCCTGTCTCTACTAAAAATACAAAATTAGCCGGGCGTGGTGGTGCATGCCTGTAATCCCAGCTAACTAGGGAGGCTGAGGAAGGAGAATCGCTTGAACCAAGGAGGTGGAGGTTGTGATGAGCTGAGATCGCGCCATTGCACTCCAGTCTGGGCAACAACAGCGAAACTGTCTTGCTGAGTTTTCCTGAAAAACAGTCTTAGAAACACGTGGCTGAGTCCTCTTGACTTTACCCCAGCTGCAGACTGTACTATCTATAGCAAAACCACATGGCGGGGTGGTAGGAGTGGATCCACAGCTGCCACTTAAAGCCTAGAATTTAAACACAGAGCAACTCAGCAGCCAAGTGTTAGGATGAAACAGAAGCTGAGCTTCTGAGCAGAATACGTCTTTGAAGCCAGACATATTTAGCCGGAATTCTAAACTTACCCACCCATTCACCACTGATTAACCAAGATCCAAAGAGGCAGCTTGATCCAGCCATCCACGCAATGGAGATGCTGAGCACACATATGACTGCCACTACAACCAACAAGCCACCGGCCCTTTCACTCCAGAGACGATGGTCTTATTAGCAAAAGGCCACTGCTCCTCAGTTGCATTTTCTTGCCTGGTGTGCCTGCACTTGGCACTCCAGAAGCAAATCATCCTTTGGCAGGTTCCACATCAATGCAGGGGTTGGGGACTGCTTTCTCCTTGTCCAAACCCTGAAGGGGCCATTCCCAACTGCACTGTGTTGGAGTGGGCCTACATAGCTTGATGTGAGTCCAGGGGAACAGCAGGTTCCCTGCATCCATCCACTTGTGTGCTTACCTCTGACTGGGGAGAAGGCTTCCTCTACCTTTCAAGCAATGATGTTTGCATTCAAATGTCTCTGTCAAAGGCGGATTCCTGATAATCTGTTCCTCTTCACCATACCAGCACATAGGCATATATACAAAGATCCTGCTACAGAAACTTTAAAGGAAGAAAATCATGGTGATCAGCCAGGGCCTTCTCCCTTTTCCACTGTTCAACTCAACTGATTTCCTCAACTCAAAAATGTGGGAACAAGCTTTTCTAGCCATAATACTCCCTCCACTGCAAATGATCTTCCTGTACAAATAGTATCATACACATCCTGATATGTCTGTATGACAAAGCCAGAGTCATCTGTCTCTTCAACTTGCATCTGACTCACGTGTGAGGCTGCAGGAGTCAGGCTGCCTTTCCTCTTTGCCATTCTTCACAGCCAGGAGTCATTTTTGTGGCAAAAATTGAAAAAGACAGATCTATAGGTAGATACTTAAGTCAACTATTTAAGAATTGTTGGGATTGAAGGATCTGAGGGCACCTGGAAGTTCACCTGATTCAATCTTAACTGTTCTGACATTCAGCCTTTGTTTGAACACATGCAGAGATAAGAACATTCGTTTATTCGTGCAACCCCTCCTGTAGGTACAGGCTTGGTGGCAGCAGGGCAAAGGAGGACACAGAGCTCTCTGCATTTTGATTCCAATGTCTCAATGTTTTTGGTGCTCAGAAAGAACTTTATCCTCTTCCTTTTTTTTTTTTTTTTTTTTTGTCTCTTCCTATTTCTGCCCAAGGAATGAGTCCAGGAGTAGAATCCTGCTCCTTCTCTTCTGATAAAAACTGCAATTGTTTTCTCTTCTTTCTGAGTACCCAGCATGGGTTGGACCAGCACCTTCTTTAGTCTTCTTGCAGGAAAGGGACTTCCCGCTCTGGCTCTGGAACCCAGAGATGTTTGGCCTGTGATCCAGACCCAGTCTTGGCTTTTCTGAGAAAAAGTAGACTCTGGTTTACTCTTCTGGATTCTCCATTCCGGTCATGTAGCTTATGGCTGTTGCCCAAGTTCTCTTTACTAGCCCTTGGAAAATAAATCCTGATGTACAATAGTTGTTGGCTTTGCCACATCAGCTGCTTCCTTACTGGGCCAACTTTCCCACTGTCCCTGCTGCTCTCAGTTTTTCTCTCCTCCTGAGCTGGGCTTCAAGGGCTGTAGCCCTGGGTCTCCTGTCCAGTTTCTGCCCTACTCCACCATCTGGTCTGGGCTTTCTGAGTTTTATCATGAGCACCCTTCTCCACTCAGCAGTTTTCAACCTCTGGTCTCTGACCCCAGTTCTCAGACTGGGAACTTCCATATTGAAAACTTGACAAAATGCCTGCTAACAGCTTGTTACAGCAGGTTTTGAGTTATCCGGGGGAGCTGTCAGGAAGCCAGGTTAGGATGAAGCAAGACAAGAAACGACATTATTTCTAGGGCTGGGGAAGCCCCAGTCAAGACAGTCAGCCACAGCCTGATAACTCTCCCTGCATGCGCAAGCCCACCGCTTGCAACCTGGAGGAAGCTCCTGTCAGCAATGGGCTCTAATGACATGTCAGAAAACAGAACAGACAGCTTAAGAGACCTTCACTACTACTTCCCTGCTTTCACAGCAGGTGTCCTGGTGGTACAAACCCCAGGTATGAAGCTGCAAGGAGGGACCCAGTTCCAGGACACCAAGAACACCCAGCTACTCAGCAATCTCCTTCCACCGTGGACCTCGGCACATGAACACAGCACAGGCACCCAACGATTCCGCCAAGGCCTGCAGGAGTGTTGTGCCTGGTCCAACCCAGAGTGTCAACAAGCATGTCTTTCCCAACATTGTTACAAAGTGCAAGGATAGAGTCTCCCAAGTGTGCGGCTCCTTTCACCTACCTTGTCTCCTGGGATCCTCATAACAGCCCTGTGAGGTGGGAAAGGGGGCTATTCTTAACCCCATTTGAGAGATGAAGAAACTCAAGCTTAGAGAGGGAATGGGAGAACTCGAGGCCACCTAGTGAGAGGCTGGGACTAAACCCTGGGTCTCTTGACTCCTGGTTCAGTGCTGCACCCACTAAGCAGGCTTTCGGAAGCATTGGGACAAGCAAGAATGCCCCAGGAGATAAGGACATCCCAGTGCTCCCCACTGGCCAAAGCAAAGCACACCATGCAGAAGCATCCTCACGTTCACAGATAGCTGCTCCAACCTCCTTTAGCACAGACACAGTGCAAGCCTCCACTGATGCTGTGCTTGCAAAACACAAACATCTAGCACTTCCAACAGCCAACTAGACCCGGCAGAACCTTGGGGACAGGCTTGACTTCACCCAACACAACACCACTGCCACAGAGTTAGACACTACTTAGGCCCACCTTGTCCTCAAGCATGCTGCCCTGCTCAGAGCACCTTCCACTTTCCTCTCTCAAGGCCACAATCTACCTGAGTTTGGGCTCTCTTCTGACTACTTGTGCTACAAAGTGTCTGCTCCTTGTTTATCTCCAGACTCAACCTCCTTCCCTGGCTGCTGAATTTCATATGCCAGTGAATCAACCAGCAAAAGCTCTCAAGCCGGACCAACCTCTTTTTCTCTCACTTTGGGACCTACTAACTCCCCCACCAACCTCAGTGGTTCAGTGGTGTCTGCAAAATGCATCCATCCTGCCATCTGAGTAGCAGGTGAGAGTTATGGGCCCAAGCTTGGGAAGAACCTCTCTCCTTCTGTTTTGACCTGCTGGTCTCCTGGGACTTCCCATTCTAAGCACCCCAAGCTTCTTGGGAAGGAAGAGGTAGCAAATAGCTAGTTGGGTGATGAAGGTGTTTATCATTCAGTGGGAAGTAGGGGGTGGCTGTGCAAAGAGTGGAGTCTGAGGCAGGGTGATTGAGACACCCCTAGGCCTCCCATACACGCTCAGGCCCATCCTCTGGAAGTGAGGAAACAGTGGGCAGATTACCTCGGTTACAGATACTGCAGAAGTTGCTGGGCCCCTCGCTGTGCTTCTTCAGGTGGTCTGCCATGTATGCTGCCCGCAAGTACTTCCCACACACCTGGCAGGGCACCTTGTCTTCATGACAGGCCAGGTGGGAGCGCAGACGGTCTCGGGTGGCAAAAGAAGCATTGCAGGTCTGAAGGCAGAAAAGAAAATGGGATGATGTGAAACCCAGCACCCCACACCTGACTCCCCACCAAGTGCACCATGAAGCAAAGGCAATTTCTGGCCATCACATGACCTCCCTTTATAAAGACAGCTTTAGAGTTTGGCTCAGGCTCCCTACCCAGAATGCCAAGAGGCTGCTCTTATTTCCCATGGTACCTCCTTACGGGACACTTGAGTGGGAATCACTGGTACTAACTAAATGACTACTGGAAATGTACCCAGGACATGGCAAGCTAAGCTCTATACCCCTCTACACAATGAAGAGTTACACATTTGCTCATCCTTAGACATTAAGAATTGACTTTAGGTGCATTAGCTATAATGCACAGAATTACATTTACATGAATTTACAGATGAGTTATTGGCATATAAACCAGCCTTCCTGTTCTGTATCCCTGGGTTTCCCCTAGTTTTATACAAAGAATTATATTTGTTCATTTTATTCAAAAGTGACATTAGTCTTGGCCAGGGAAATGGAAAGGAAAGGCAGGACAAAGTGCAGAGATAATTATTCGTAATATTTTCACGAGTTTGAATTGAAAAAGCAGCCCATTAAATGATAGTGGCAATTCTGACGACATGAGAATTAGCAGACAGCAAGGGCCAGAGGCTTCAAAAGTGTCTGTGGGCCGGGTGCGGTGGCTCATGCTTGTAATCCCAGCGCTTTGGGAGGCCGAGATGGGTGGATCACCTGAGGTCAGGAGTTCAAGACCAGCCTGGCCAACATGGTGAAACCCCATCTCTATTAAAAATATAAAAAATTAGCCGGGTGTGGTGGCAGACTCCCGTAATCCCAGCTACTTGGGAGGCTGAGGCAGGAGAATCACTTGAACCTGGGAGGTAGAGGTTGCAGTGAGCCAAGATCGTGTCACTGCACTCCAGCCTGGGCAACAAGTCAAGACTTCCTCTCAAAAAAAAAAAAAAAAAAAAAAATCCGGGCGCGGTGGCTCACACCTGTAATCCCAGCACTTTGGGAGGCTGAGGCGGGCGGATCACGAAGTCAGGAGATCAAGACCATCCTGGCTAACACGGTGAAACTCGGTCTCTACTAAAAACACAAAAAAATTAACCAGGCATGGTGGCAGGTGCCTGTAGTCCCAGCTACTCGGGAGGCTGAGGCGGGAGAATGGCATAAACCCGGGAGGCAGAGCTTGCAGTGAGCCGAGATCACACCACTGCACTCCAGCCTGGGCAACAGAGCAAGACTCCGTCTCAAAAAAAAAAAGCATTTGTGAAACGTTAAGCTGGGGAAGTGCTGGTGACAGCAAGGATGATGATACTACCCTGTATTGATTAAGCATTCATTGTGTGCCAGGCAGGCACGGTGCTCAGCCTTTTAGAGGCACTTATCTCATGCAACCCATCCTGACAGCAGCCCTCCGAGGCAAGCTGTGTGATCACCCTCCAAGACAGCGTGGCTTTGGAAAGCTGTGGTGTGAGCTGAGCACCAACTCACAGCCAGGCCCCCGGGGTTGGATGAGTCAGGAGCTGAAGGTCAGAACCAGCACCCTGGAAGGAGGACTCAGGTTGGCAGGCACTTCCTGTACCTGAGCACCTGACTTAGTACCAGTGATCAGTCTCCTCACAACATCCCTTCCTCAGCTGGAGCTTACAAAGGCATTCCAGCTGTGGGGGTCATAGAATATTGGGAAAGCCCTGAGAAGAGCTGAATCCGTTGGCTTTCAAGCTATTTTGGTTCCAGGGAGGTGTTTCATGGGTTCTAGTCAATTTTGACTCATTTCTTTTGTGTGTGTGTGTGTTTACTGTTTTAGAACTGTAAGAGAAAGCAACATTCACCTTTGTGTCACAGATCAAATGGTAACCCACTGAAGACCACCCCATTACCTTGTGCTAGAACGGAACTGCCTCTGCCATCTCTCTTTAACAGAAGCACATCCTGAGAACCTGAGAGCTCAAGGTAAGTGGCTGAACACTGTCAACACATACAGACATCTAACTGTCTCCTTACTGTACAGCCATAGCAAGAAACAAACGCATGCAATGCTGTCAAGGTAGAAGACACCACTGTTTACTACCCCAGTCCCAAATATCTGTGTACGTTAGCACAGCCTACCTAGCTCTTCTGTCATTGTCTTTTTAAGTAAACATTATACATTTGAACTGAATTTGTAGCAATGACATACTGCTTTTATCTGTTTTATATATTCAGTGTATTCATATCATAAATGAGGAAACCTTCAGAAGGTGAACTTGCTTAAAACACAAGACTCAGCTACTAAAGAAAGTCTAGCACACCCACCCCCACCACACCCAGGCCAGTACTTTACCAATCCTCCTGGACACCCTGGGGGATTCTGATCTCTCCCAGTTTACAGCTGGGCCAGTGGAGGCCGTGAGAGGATATGAGACAGCTGGACTAAGAACCAGTCCCAGAGCCTGTGCTCTTACCATCTCCAGATTCAGGAGAGGGAGCTTCTGCTGAGTGAAAGGTGCTCATACTTTATAACACAGTGTACAGTACTTGGCAGCCAGGACTCCCAAAAGGGAAAGGTGAACAGATTTGTGCAAGGAAATTCCAGCATGTAGGAAGTCAGAAAGCACCATGGATGCTTGCTCTCATGGCCACATGTGGGCCCCACGTCAGCCAGGGACCTCATGACCCAGTGACAGGCCACAGTAGGAGAAAAAAACTCCTAACCTCTACACAGCCCAGCAGTCTCTAAACCAGAGCAGGGGCTGCATAAACACCCCCGGGAAAGAGAGGTACACCTGTTGATTTATTTGGGGACAAGAGCTAGCTTTGCCAGGCAGCGACCCAAAGACCACCCCTCCAATGGTGAGAGAGGGTGTGTTCTAAGCCTCAGAACTCAAAGGAACCAACATGGATCAGGTGTAAGAAAACAGGGCTGAGGCCAGGCGCAGTGGCTCACACCTGTAATCCCAACACTTTGGGAGGCCGAGGCGGGTGGATCACAATGTCAGAAGTTTGAGACCAGCCTGGCCAATATGGTGAAACCCCGTCTCTACTAAAAATACAAAAAAATTAGCTGGGCATGGTGGTGGGCGCCTGTAGTCCCAGCTACTCGGGGGCTGAAAGCATATTCAGGATTTTGTCTTCCACAGTCTCTGGGAGAGGGAGCCACAAGAGGGATAGGAAAGAGATGCCTTGTTTCTCTTGCCAACCTTCTTTTGGGATCTGTCCTCTAAAGGCTTTGCCTGTCATGCTTTGCTACCTAAAGATGATGGATAGCCAAACTTCAGTTACCCACAAGTGGCTTATCCATTTGGGGATTAGCTAAGCAAAATTAAAATCCCAGACTGGGCTGGCTTCCCCCACCCTGTCCTCCATTGATTATCTCTCAAGGAATGAAAGCTAACTTTCGCCTGAGCAAACAGAATTAGGAATGTAAATCTGCTGCTGGGGGAAAAAACACAAACATGACAAACGCTTTCCCTGTGTTCAAAGCCAAGCTGAAGTGATTGTTGGCTTCTCTGTGCCAGGATTGACCCTCTGCTGCTGCAGTCCCCAGGTTTTCTGGGGAGCCTGTGAAAGTCCAAAGTCTAGGCACAGCAGAAGTTCAGACAACACAGAACATGAAAGAGCCTGGTCACACAACCCAGGAGAGAAGGGGCGGAGGGAGACAGATCTCAAAGGGAACATCCAGAACTTCCATGCTGGGGTGTCAGGAGAAGAGCATTCTTTGTCCTAGAGACAGGGAGAAGACAGAGGGACGCTGATGGGAAGAGAGTGAGCCAGAGGCAGAATGCTTTGACTGCCTGTGGCACTCGGAAGAGCTGCCCGGCCCACAGCCCTGTGCTTAGTTAGACAGCCTGCTGTAATTAAGGGCCATGCCTGCCAGGTCCTGGCCCAGGCACCCTGAGTGCAGGTCATCACCACTCAACACTGAGCCCCAGTCCTGCTCCCTTCCCAGACTTCCTAAAGCTTTTCTTCCTAAGGATTGAGCAGCTTGGGAATGGGGCCCAAGTGGTACCAAGGGCACTAGTGCACACCCCCACCCTTAGTAGCCCTTGAACTCAGGCAGCCTCAGGGGTAGTCTCAAGCAGCTTTCTCCCACAGCCCTGGAAAACTCTAAGGGCAATGCATGAAGGTTCAGCTCCCTGGGCTCTTTGGCCCCCTTCTTCTCGAGCATATGCCCATCTCAACGCATTCCTTCTCTAACCAGCCCCCAAGAAGTGGAGCCCGTGGAAGCTAGGGAGGTCTGAGCTGCTCCAGCCTCTCAGCTTCAGGTTGAACTCCATGTGGGGGAAATGTCCCAGCCCACTAAGCTCATAAATCCAGCAGTACCTGGGGCATCTGGGCCAGTTAAGGACACTCAGGCCAAGTCCCAAAGAGACATGCCACTGTCAAGCCTGAGGCTTCCTGCCCCTACATTCAGATGGCCTTTCTACTTAAGCTATGGCACTAGTCTCTGTAACTGGCCTCTTTCATTCTCTCTGGCATCAGGAGGGGATGAGCGATACGGACTGTGCCTAGCCAGTGGGGAACTCAAGGAATGAACTCCCAGAGAGCCGTCTCTTCACCTCTTATGTTTTCAGCATCCCCACACTATGCCAACAGGTGCCCCTGCTGTTTAACCAAGTCCAGGCACACCTGGCTGGCCAGCCCAGAGCAAGAGAGCCAGCATGTCTTCACCTGCTGGGTCCGTTAGGGGAGTTGTGGCTGTAGGGCTGGAGGAGGGGCCAGCAGGTCTGTGAGAGTGTATGTTGGGAGGGGCAGGGCAGGAGCGCATTTGTACACCAAGGGACAGTGATGTCAGTGTTATGACACAGACCAAGGACAAAACACACAAAGCCTCAAATGTTAGAATGAAAAATTTTATCATCACTCCTGTTCACCCCGCAGAGTCTGCGGAGTGCTAAAGGGCACACCAATAAGGATCCGAGGGAGGGGGTCTACATCTGCTTTTTCAGCCCCCAAAGCCATATATTGGGGTGGCCCAATATAAAGCTACTCATTAGTTTGGTTCCTGAGCAGACCTGCTAATAAACCTCAAAAACACAAAAGTCTACTTCACTAGCCAGAAATGAAAGCAGGATCTAGATCTGAGTGGGAAGGGCAGAGGGCAGCATGGGTTGACTCTAGTTGGAATTGTGCCAGTCTTCTCTGGAGGCCGACTCACTCGTGGAGTGGGGAAAGGGGTGGCCAGGCCCCAGTCTAGAAACCCCAGGCCTATGGGAAGTGATGCCAGGGGAAGGGAAGCAGATAAGCTGGTGGCTAGTTCCCAGGAAGGCACCAACCTCCAAAATCACCTAGGCAAGGACAGATGCCCAGGGGTGCCATCTGTGAAAGGGGGGAAAAGGCAAGAGAGCCCAGAAAGAAACTTGGATGCTATAGGGGGTTCCAGAAAGGTGCTCCTTGCTACCCCCATTTGGGGGCTCTGACATGGGAAAGACTCCGAGTCACCCAGGGAGGAGCTGGGCATGCTGGGCAGGAACCACCCTGCTAGCCTCTCCCAAAAGCAGGGGTCTCAGGCCAAATGCCCCTCCTGTTCCCTTCCACTGTCAACCCTCTCCAGGGAGGCCCAGGCTAGCCAACAGGCCACTGGGTAAAGGCCCTGCTGCCCTCTGGGGTGGTCCAGCCCTGCCTCAGATATCCCGGCGGGGCTGGGCAGAAGAGAGTGTTGCTGGAGTGTGCTGGGCCCAGGTTTTCAAGGGCTGGGAATGATTTTTTTAGAGAAAGGGAAAAGGCGGTGTCAGGAACCGAATGGGACGACCTCCACAAAGCAGGCTGGGCAAAGTCCCATGATGGCAGGTCGCTAGGAAGAGGTTCCAGGGGCGGCAGGCCGCTGCTGCTCCCAACCCACACCTGGAAAAAGGGCAGAGAGTGCAGGTTACCCCCCCAGGCCACCGGGCTTGCCCCCACTGCCCTCTGGGCTCCTCCTACTCTGCCCGGGCTAATCAGCACACTACCTGAGTCAGAATGTGCTCTGTGATGAGAGAATCAGAGACAGAGAGAGAGAAGGCAGCAAGGCAAAGACAGATCCCAGCAGGCCCACCCTGGGTCATCCTCCAGGGAGACTGCCTAGCCCAGCACCTGTGAACACCGTCCACGCCTGACCCCCAGGGGCTCTGCCCTACTTACGGCACATTCATCCCTCCCTGCTGGTCTCCCTGAACCCTCTCCCCTTGCCACCAACAGGATAAGGAGAAGCAGGTTATCCTATCAGAGACTGCAGTGCACACCCCACAATCATGGCTCGCCCTCACTTGATGGGAACTTGGCATGGGAGAGGGGAGATAACCAAGGAGAAGACAGAGGTGTGTTCGCTATCCACACAGGAAGGCTCAGTGGCCAGGAGAGGAAACTCAATCTTTTGGGTACCAGCAGGGCCCCCAGATATTGTTCAAGCAGGTAAACCAAGGGTGAGAATCTATCTGGTCCAGCGTTTCCTACCTGCTACTTTGCAAAGAGCTAAAAGAAGAAGAGCCCACTTTGCTCTCCAGTCCTCCAGAAACCCTGGCTTAGGATGGGTTAAACAGATGCCAGTGTGGGAGAGGGGACCACCCACTCCCTACCTCCTACCTCCCCCACTGCCTTGTGCCCTAAGCTGAGGGGACCCAGGAGGAGCTCTAACTGAGGTCAGAAAAGGGGAAGAGTGGTTGGCTGGACCACCAGGAGCCCTTTTAAAAAAACCTGCAGTCCCTACAAACTGCTGGAAACCAACAGTCAGGCCCAGCGCAGTGCCGGGTCTCCCAACACAACATCTGTGTGATACGGCCCACCATCCAAGGAGCCGGCAAACACCAGGAGAGGAAAGCCAAGCAACAGAGTGAAGGCAAAGACAGGGTGGGAACCAGGACCAAGCAACCAGGAAGGAGGAACGTCAGCTGTGGGGGAAGGGGGCCTGGGGGAAGAACAAAGGAGGAGAGCAGAGGGAGGGTGGAGGAACAGAGGGGAGGTGTGCAAAGCGGTGGGCGGTCAGCCGGGCCCCCGGCACACGCAGCGGCTGGCTCAAGGCTGCGACCGTGAGAACAGCATCATCTCCTTCAGCCCATCTCTGCCCTGACCCAGCCCCTACCTGACACTTGTGAGGCCGCTCAGAAGTGTGCACCTGCTTGATATGTCCGTTCAAGTGATCAGGCCTGGAAAAGAGAGAACCAAGAGGGACTTTAGAAACTTGGCCAGACCCCACCACACAGGCACATATGCATACGTGTGTACACACACACACACACTCACTGCTGGAAAGGACTCCCTCTCCCCAACCCCAGCATGACAAAGACAAAGTCACCACCCAGTTCTGGCTCCACAGGCCCAGGCCTCTCTGCCCTGGTTTTCTCTGGAGGGGGGAAGAGAAATGGGCATTTGTCTCTGATTTTGCCTCCCCACTCCCTCAATTCTCCCCACCAGAAACTCAGTGTTTTCTAGGACCAGAGGCGGTGGCAGTAGAATGAAACAGAGCTGCCTCACTGCAGCCTTTCCAGGAGGGGATATGTGATTCATTGTCCAGACTAAAGCCCCTTAGAAACTCAGCAATCCCCTCCCCCAGCCTCTCCCGCCACGGGCAGCCAATGAATGCCACCCGGATGGAATTCAGTCCCCAGAGGCCAGCAGTGGAGCCTTAAGTCCCCAGCTGGGCTGGTAAGCCAGATGCCCGCCTGAGCAGGTGGGCAGGGGCTGCCTGACCGGTAAGACTGGTTCCTGGTCGGGGCCCTCTGAGGGAGTTCTCCATCCCTGTGTTCACACACACAAGGTCCTACAATCCAGGTTAAAACCGGCCTTTTAGGAGAAAAACAAAATCACCCTCTGCTCCCAGACAAGTCCTCAGTTCCCCAACAGGCTAACTAGAAAGTGAACCTACATAGAGATCCTGTCCCCATTCCTTTCTGTCCTGAAAACATAAAGGGGCTCGTGGGTCCCATTAGGCTCTAGAGCTACCAGGTCAGAGCAGATCAAAGCTTTTGGTGTTAAGCAGCAGCTCTGGGTGACCAGCTCTGTGTCCCATGATCCCAGGGTGGTGTGAGAGGCACAGCTGGAGTCTACTGATCAGGATGGCCAGTGTTCTGTGTTGGGGAATCTGGTGCCTCAAGAGTGTAGGGAGTCCCAGATGCACTTGTTCCAGTACCTCCCTCGGCAGCCATTCAAGCGGGGAAGTCGCTGGAGGAGCCCAGTCTCCCGCCCCCAGAGGGGGCCCCACGCCTGGTGCCGGAAACACAAAGGGAGCCCTGGGGGAAGAATGGTGAGGTCCGGTGGCTCTGGCCTGAGGAATCCGGCCCCAGGAGGAGAGACAGTAGGGCACACTTAGCGTCAAAAAAACTTCCCTGAGGGAATGGAAAGCAGGTCTCAGGCATACCATCTCAAAATAAGGGCCCTTAAAAACACTCTACCCAAACCTGGCATGGTTCTATAAGGTCAAATGACCCCCACAAATCCCACACCCCCAGATCTTGGCAGGAGCCTTTTCAGGACTAAGATAACGTGTGGCAGGGGAGGAAGAGGGGGCCTTTCCTCACCTGGAGAAGCCTTTCCCACAGCTCTGGCAGATGTAAGGCTTGCCCACGGACCCATCATGGGACCGCACATGGTAGGACATGCGGTCTTTTCTCTTGAACCGCAACCCACACACAGGGCAGGAGTAGGGCTTCTCCCCAGAGTGGGACAGCTTGTGCCGGTTAAGATGATACACATCACGGAAGATCTTGCCGCAGATCTCACAAGCCACCTGCTTCCTGGTCCGGCTCCTCTTTCGGGGGCCGTCGGGGTCTTCAGAGATGGGTAGCCCATTCTCACCCAGCCTCGGAGGAGGAAGGTCGATGTAGCCCAGCTGGAGGCTGGTGACACCGTGCTGGGCCTCGTGCTGCCGGAGCCGGTTGGCATCAGTGAACACCTTACCACATAGACCGCATGGAAGGATGCCTGCCTCCCTCAGGCCCCCTGGGGACCCAAACATTGAGTCCAGCAGGTTGGCCTTCCTTGGGCGGCCCCGGCCTCGCTTGCCAGTCAGGGGAGGGGCACTGGATGCCACACTGGGGAATGGGGAAGTCAGCAGTTGGGGGGATAGGGGTCCAGCCACCATGGGCAAGCGGTCCACCCCAGGTAACACAGGCAAAGAGGCTTGGCCTGCAATGGCTGCACCAGCCGCCCGAGCTGCCTCCTCCTCTGGCTGCATGCTGCCGGCGATGCCATTGCTGTTGGCTGCCAAGGCTGCCCCGTTGGTCATGTCCAAAGGGAAGCCCAAGTCCGAGGTCCCAGGGGGGCGAAAGAGCATTATATCGGCGCGGGCAGGGGGTACCAGGATCTGTACGTTGGACTGTTTGATGACTTCCTGGCAGATCTCGATAACCGACCTCATCAGCAGGAACTTGGCGGCCGTCATGAGTTCGGGAAAGCTCTCCAAGCGCACCACGATGCGGGAAGTGTAGGCGAAGTCCAGAATGTCCCCAAATACCTTGGAGCTGATAGTGTGCATCTCCAGCTCCCGGCTGCCCCCGGCCCCGCCGCCTGGTGCTGCCGTCGCGCCCCCTACATCAGCCGGACCCCCGTCCGCAGCTCCGCCGTCGCCCAACTGGGCGCTGAACACCGACTCAAAGTACTCGCTGCAGGCGGCCAGCACGGCGCGGTGCGCTGGGAAGCTCTCGTCGCCTACCCGCAAGAGCACGTCGCAGAAGCGCCCGCCGTTTTTGCGCTGCTGGTTCAGGTTGTGCAGCATCTCCGTGCTGTGTCTGCTCACCTGGTATGTGTAGCAGCCAGACGGGCCGCACGAAGCGTCGTTCACCCGCTCCATGGCCGCCGCCCCCTCCCACTAGCCCGGCCGCTGCACCTGCCCGCCCCCTCCCTTCCCCTCAGCAGCGAGAAGCGGGGCGCAGCAGACGTGTCCACACTCCCCACACGTGCCGGCCCGAGGCTCTGTAGTCTCGCAGGTGCGCCGAGTGTACACGCCCCCAGCCCGGATCAGACTGTCTAGACTGCGGGGTGCACCACCCCCCACATAGCCAACCCCCGCCCTCGCTGGACTGCGCGCCACTCTCTCCTCTCCGCCCGCCCGCCTCCCCTTCCCGGTCTACCTTCCGGGGGGGTGCGCGAGCGAAGAGGTGCGCCCCTCCTGCAAACGCGCCTGCCACCTCCCCTCCCGCCCGCCAGGCGGCGCCGGCGCGCAGCCAAGAAGGGCACGCGCACGCGGGGAGGAGAAGGAGGGGTCCGCCGCGCAGGCGCGCGCGCGCGCCGCGGCTTTTCCCGGGCCCGCTGGGGGCGCGCGCTGCGTCCCCTGCAAAGCGCGAGCCGGGGCGGGGGCGCCGGAGCGGAGGAAACAAAAGGCGAAGGCGAAGGCGGCGGCGGCGGGGCGCGCACGGGGGCGGTGGCGCGGGCCGGGTCCCGGAGCCTGGAGGGCGGTGGCGGCGGCGGCGGCGGCTGGAGCGGGCGGGCGGCGGCGGCGGCAGAGTAGGCCCTTCCTCAGGCCGGGAGAAGGCGGCGGCGGAGCGGCGGCTGTGCGGCCCCGGGCTCCGTGTGTTCGGAGCGGAGGAAAGATGGCAGCGGCTGCACTTCCTCTTGCACTTTCACCCCTGGGGGGAGGAGAAGGAGGGGGCGATACCAACAACACCCCCCCTCTCGCTTGCAGAAAAAAAAGAAACGGCGAGCTCAGAGTGGGGGCCCCGGCGTCCCCGGCCTTGCACGTGCGCGCCCGGATGCCTAGCCCGGGCCGCCTGGCGCTGCAAACTTTACACTTTCTTTGTGCCGAGCGCCCCCCCCTCACCAAGACGAGGATGCACGTCCCCCCTTCCCTATTTATACACCCCCCCCCCGCAGTCCGCTCCCCCCGCTTCCTGCCCCCCCTCCCCATTCCCCAGATCCGCCAATGCTAGAGCAGCCTGAGCCCCCGTCCGGCCCCCGCCTCCCCACCCCGCCCGCGGGGCCGGGGGCTGCAGTCTCAGCCCCCCCGGACCAATGCAAACGAAGCGCCGAGCCAGCAAACCAGCTCCCACTGCCCCTCCCCTGCCCGCTGAGAGTGGCGGCTAGCAGGGTGGGGGGGCAGGAACTGAGGGGTGCGGATCCGGGCCCCCCAGCCTGCGAAGCGCACTCGCAGGTCGAGCGGGCGTCGTCCACCCTTCGGAGCCCCGCTTTCATGCGTGAAATTCCCAGAAGTCGCCTGCGACCGCCTCCCTGCTTCAAACACCAGAGAGGGCCCGGGGTCCTGGCCGGAGACAGGCCGAACCTCCGGAGCTGCTTCTGCACCCGGTACATTGATCGATCTGATGGGCTGCGCGCCCGGAAGAGCTGGAGAGATGAAGCCAGCGTCCAGCTTCTCCCCCAAACCACAGCACGCCGAGCTTTGTCCCCGGGGAGCGTGAAGTCACCAGCTCCGGGAGGCGACAATATGAGGGCGATGGACGGGGCAGGGACCCCCGGAAGCCCCAGCAATCCTCAGGGAAGTGGGGGTGCCGGAGGAGTCGGGGACACCCTCAGGCCTCTCCAAGCCCGGAGCATCCCCAGCGCCCGCAGCCCTGTGAGACGCCGGGTGCTCTGGTAATGGGCCCTGCCGCCAGGCCTCGGCGCTTTGTCCCCGGCCCGCCCGGGGATGCTACCACGCTAGAGTTGTACACCAAGGTTTGTCTTCCCAGGAAGCGCTGGCGGCTGCCTTTGGGCCGCCTGGCGCGGAGCCCCAGGCTGCAGGCGCCGCGTGTGCGGGCGGGAAGTTCCCACAGTTGCAAAGAGGCAGCGAAGTATGTGTTCCAAACTTTCCACGGTTCCAAACTGAGCGCTTCCATTAAGAGAAGCGGTGTGCGGGGGAAAAGCATTCTGGGTATTAGCATGCAAATGAACGGGCCCGGCTTCCAACTCCGCTCGGGATTCCCACCGCTGCGCGCCGAGCTCGCGCCCAGCCACGCGCGCCCTGAGGCTTCCGGGCGTTGCCCTGGCGGATGATCCGAGTTCAAAATCGAGACCTCTGCCTTCTGGTTTCGTGTCCTGGTGCTTAGTCACTTGGCCTCCCTGAGATTCAGTTAAACTGTTTCTTAACCTGTGCACAGGGACAGCAGCACCTGTCCTGCACACCTCCGCTCTAGGGCATAGTACATGCCAAACTCCTGTTGGAGAGAATGAATTAGAGGCATGAAGAAAGTTCCCTGGACACGAAGCCAGGAGATCTGTGTTCTAAGCCCAGACTCACTGTCACCTTAGGCTAGTGCCTCCCTCTCTGAGCCACAGCTTTCTTGGGCGGATTTTGGGAACTGGCACGTTTTATTTTTGAGAGAGCTGCTGGGAACATCCACAGAGAAAGAGAAAGGGGCCGGGCGCGGTGGCTCACGCCTGTTATCCCAGCACTTTGGGAGGCTGAGGCGGGCGGATCACCTGAGGTCGGGAGTTCGAGACCAGTCTGACCAACACGGAGAAACCCCATCTCTACTAAAAATACAAAACTAGGCCGGGCGCAGTGGCTCATGCCTGTAATCCCAGCACTTTGGGAGGTCGAGGCAGGCGGATCACCTGAGGTCGGGAGTTCTAGACCAGCCTGACCAACATGGAGAAACCCCGTCTCTACTAAAAATACAAAATTAGCCGGGCGTGGTGGCACATGCCTGTAATCTCAGCTACTAGAGAGGCTGAGGCAGGAGAATCGCTTGAACCTGGGAGGCGGAGGTTGCCGTGAGCCGAGATCGTGCCATTGCACTACAGCCTGGGCAACAAGAGCGAAACTCCGTCTCAAAAAAAAAAAAAATACAAAATTAGCCGGGCGTGGTGGCACATGCCTATAATCCGAGCTACTGGGGAGGCTGAGGCAGGAGAATCACTTGAACCCGGGAGGCGGAGTTGCGGTGAGCCGAGATCGCGCCATTGCACTCTAGCCTGGGCAACAAGAGCAAAACTGTTTCAAAAAAAAAAAAAAGAAGAAGAAAGAAAAGAAAAAGAGGTTTGCTCTGAGTGTCCAGTGTATACACACATCGTTTCTCCATAGTAGGTACAGATATTCCTATTCAACCATTGGAACTGGGGAAGGTGAGTGACCTGCCCAAGGCCACACAGATAGTGATGGAGCCAGGATTCAAACTGGTTAACTGCCCCTTTCTCACCAGTGGCTTCTGAAACCTGTCACCCGTCCATGGCTCCACTTGAACCAGGAACTGACTCTCTGTCTGCTATGCTTAGAAAACAAGGTGCCATGACTGGCCCCATTCCAGCGGATTCACCCGGTGAAGGTGGGTTCAGAAGGTGGTGCTCTGAGGAAAACAGGGAACGTGCATCAGCCCTGTTTTGCAGATAGGAAGCCTGAGGTTCAAGGAGCCAGAGTGGTCCAGGATCCCACCTTGGGGAAGTGGCCAGAGACAGTCCAGACGCCGTTCTGATCCCACCTGGGAGCTTTTTTCCAAATGTCGCCTTGGCAGTGTGATTGTGGGGGTGGGAGTAACCTCTCTACTTCATCCATTACTCTCAGTCTTGCCCATCTCTCAGGCTCCTAGGAATCCATTATGTAACTTAAGGCATGCTTGCAGAACATGTCTTTTTTTTTTTTTTTTAGGTAACATTCAACTGACATAAAATTAACAATTTTAAAATGTATCATTCACTAGCACCTAGTACATTCACAATGTTGTGCAACCAGCACGTCTGTCCAGTTGCAAAACATTTTTATCACCCCAAAAGAAAACTCCGTACACGTTAAGAAGTCACTTTCCATTCCCTTCTCCCTTCATCCCCTGGCAACCACCAATCTGCATTCTGTCTCTATGGATTTACCTATTCTGGATATTTTTTTTATTTATTTATTTTTTGAGACGAAGTCTCTGTCACCCAGGCTGGAGTGCAGTGGCGCGATCTTGGCTCACTGCAATCTCTACCTCCTGGGTTCAAGCGGTTCTCTTGCCTCAGTCTTCCAAGTAGCTGGGATTACAGGCGCATGCCACCGTGCCCGGCTAATTGTTGTATTTTTAGTAGAGATGGGGTTTCGCCATGTTGGCCAGACTGGTCTCGAACTCCTGACCTCAGGTGATTTGTCCACCTCAGCCTCCCAAGGTGCTGGGATTACAGACGTAAGCCACCATGCCCAGCCTGGATATTTTATTTAGTTGGAATTATACAATACTGTATGTGACCTTTTGAGTCTGGCTTGTTTCACTTAACGTAATGTTTTCAAGGTTCATTCATGTTGTAGCATGTATAAATACTTTGTTCCTTTTTATGACTGGCTGAATGATACACCATTGTATGGATATACTACCTTTATCCATTCATCCATTGGTGGCCTTTTGGTTATTATGGATAGTGCAACTATGAACATTTGTGCACAAGTATGTATTTGAGTGCCTATCTTCAGTTCTCTTGGGTGTATACCTAGGAGTGGAATTGCTGGGTCATATGATGGTTCTATGTATAACTTACTGAGGAACCACCAAACTCTTCCACAGTGACTGTACCATTTTGCATTCCTACCACACATGTTTTTATAAATAATTTTAGTGCTGGTCAAACCTCTCATTTTATGAATGAGCATGCTGAGGCCCAGAGAGGTTAAGTAACTTGCCCAGGGTCACACCCTTAGTCAGGATCCAGACTAAAACCAAACTTTCCTGAGTTCCTAGACTTTCAAACACTAAGAGCCTCCCATGTCACCTTTAAAGACCTCGACTACTTGCCCGAGTTTTCATTAATTGACTTAGAAACCTGCCTGGTGAACAACTGAGTTAGCCGTATTTATGAAGCTTTTTTTCTCTCAACATCTATTGAAAGAACCCACCGCCATGTTCCGGATTTCTAGGCCACACCTTGAAAACATGCAGAGCTCACAATCCCTGCATCTGCCTCCTGCTGCTGGCCTGTCGGGCCCTCTTCTGTTGCCATGGAAACCATGCACCTCAGTTTTGGCAGCAGACCAGCTGGACAGCGAACTGAGAATATCCTTGTCTCCTAGGCTAAGCAGAGCTGTCAAGGTCATGTATTCATTAACTAGATTTGTATTTATTGATCACCTACTAAGCACCAGGCTTTTGTTTTGTAAGATGCTAGGGATACAGCAGTGAACAAGCCAGACCACAGATCCTGCCCTCAAGGAACCCGTAGTCTAGAGGAGACAGACAAAAACCAAGGAACAAAAAAGGCTTTACCTGGCTCCTCTCCCTAGTTCACATTCTCCCAACCTTCCAGGCTGTGCTAAAATCCACTTCCCCTGGACCATCCCCGGAAGAGCCCAAATGCAGGTGATAGCTCCTCTCAGGATTTACATTGCATTTTTTGTTGTTACTCCCTGATTGTAAAAGTGCTATGTGCATTGTGGAAAATGTAGGAGATACACAAAAGCACAAAGAAGAAAAATTAAATAAAGATCTGTAATTTCACCACCAAGAGTCGAGCGCTGCCAACATTTCCTTCTGGTCTTTTTCTACATATGTGTATTTCTCTTTAAAAAAAAAAAAAATTATTGGCCGGGCGCAGTGGCTCATGCCTGTAATCCCAGCACTTTGGGAGGCTGAGGCGGGCAGATCACGAGGTCAGGAGATCGAGACCATCCTAACACAGTGAAACCCTGTCTCTACTAAAAAAAAAATTAGCGGGGCATGGTTGCGGGCATCTGTAGTCCCAGCTACTCAGGAGGCTGAGGCAGGAGAATGGCTTGAACCCTGGAGGCAGACATTGTAGTGACCTGAGATCATGCTACTGCACTCCAGCCTAGGCAACAAGAGCGAGACTCCATCTCAAAAACAACAACAACAACAAAAATAATAATAATGACAGGGCACAGTGGCTTATGCCTGTAATCCCAGCACTTTGGGAGGCTGAGGTGGGTGGATCCCAAGGTCAGGAGTTGGAGACCAGCCTGACCAACATGGTGAAACCCTGTCTCTACTAAATATACAAAAATTAGCCAGGCGTGGTGGCATGCACCTGTAATCCCAGCTACTCGGGAGGCTGAGGCAAGAGAATCACTTGAACCTGGGAGGTGGAGGTTGCAGTGAGAGGAGATTGTGCCACTGCACTCCAGCCTGGGCAACAGAGCGAGACACCGTCTCAAAATAATAATAATAATAACAACTTTGTTAAGCACTATCTGTGCCAGCCATAGTGCTGAGAGCACTCCTTGGTTTACCCTCTGGAATCCTCACAACAACCCTATGAGGCACTTACTCTGATGATTCCCATTTTACTGGTGTGGAAACTGAGGAATGAGCAGATAGGGAAGGGAGAGGAAGGCCCAAAGCATGCTGAATAGCAGGTACCTCTGCCTGCTCCAGGGGCTTTCAGCACAAATCCAGGCTGCCAGGCTTTATTGAGGACCTGATGGGAGGAGGAGATGGAGGGAAACACAGGAATGAGGCACCCTAGTTTCTGCCCCACTCGCCTTTAGCCTTTATCAGTCTTTCTTAGAAGGCATGTGAAGCCAACCGACTTTCTTTGCTCACTTCAATGCTGGGCTGTTCAACTTCTTAATAACAATAGCAACAAGACCATTCCTTGAACAATCATGGCACTTCAAGCATGAATGGAGTTGTTTTGGAGCCAGACAGACACAAGTTCAAGTTCAAGGTCTGCCCTTGCTGATAGTTTGGCTTTGGGTGAACAGTGCCAGAGGTTCATTTAACCCCCATAGCCTCTCTCTGAGGGTAGGATCATTGTCCCTGCCTTTTGTTTTTTCAGAGACAGGGTCTCTGTCACCCAGGTTGGCATGTACTGTCACCATCATAGCTCACTGCAGTCTGGAATGCTTTGGACTCAAGTGATCCTCCCGCCTCCACCTCCAGAATAGCTGGGACTCTGGGTTATGCCACCACGCCCAGATCATTTTTACAAATGTTTGTAGAGATGGAGTCTCACTATGTTGCCCAGGCTGGTTTCAAACTCCTGGCCTCAAGCAGTCCTCATGCCTCACCCTCCCATAGGGCTGGAATTACAGATGTGAGCCACTACACCCAGCCATTGCCCCCTGTTTATAGGTGAGCCAACTGGAAAGTTAGTTGGTTCATCCACGCCTGCCCTCGTGAAGGTTGTGCGGTCCAAACTGAGCGCAGGTCTCCCTGATTCCAACAGCCAGGTTCTTTCTCCAGCACCTTGGACCCCTTTTCTTTCTCGACAGTTGGGTTTCCTTCATGACTGGGAGGAGTGGGCAAATCTTCCACCTCACACGGAGGCCTAGCTCCTTCAGCTACACAAGGATCTTGCAGGAGGGAGAGGCTCAGCAGTTCCTGCTTCCCTGCTCCGTCCAAGTTATCTCAGCCCCTCTGTGCTGTGGTCTTCAAGGCCCGACTGGGACCCAGTAGGCCACGGTTTATCATTGGCCATGTTTCCTGCCTCTGCATCACTAGCAGAGACTTTAACACTCTTTCTTTTCATTAATCAGGCACAAAAAGGAAAAAAAAAGTCCTCATGTGTAATTGTTTGTATTTCTATACTTTAACCTGGGAGGATTTTTTTGTTTTTTTGTTTTTTTGAGATGGAATTTCGCTCTTGTTGCCCAGGCTGCAGTGCAGTGGCATGATCTCAGCTCACTGCAACCTCTGCCTCCCATGTTCAAGCAATTCTCCTACCTCAGCCTCCAGAGTAGCTGGGATTACAGGCGCCCGCCACCATGCCCGGCTAATTTTTGTATTTTTAGTAGAGATGGGGTTTCACCATTTTGGCCAGGCTGGTCTCTAACTCCTGACCTCAAGTGATCCGCCCGCCTCGGCCTCCCAAAGTGCTAGGATTACAGGCGTGAACCACCGTGCCCACCCCAGGATTTTCTTTTTTGTGCCTGATTACCTGAAGGAGAGAGAGTCAAGGTATCGCTGGTGACACGGGGGCAGGAAACATGGCCACACACATACATACACGTGAAAGGCAACTGTCTAACTGAAGAAAATCAGCTGCACATTACAGAGAAAGAGTTAATGTCCAGAAGTGCCTGAAGGTCTTCCTGGAGGTTGCCCGTGAGCCAAGATCACACCACTGCAGTCCAGCCTGGGTGACAGAGTGAGACTCAGTCTCAAAAAAAAAAAAAAAAAAAAAGTCATAGTGCTCGCATGAGTTAAGCTTTTAGGTGAGATTCCTGAGTGACATTTGATTCAACAGCAGTGTATAAAAACACTAGGTCCTTCCCATGTTGGGTTAGCTGTAATGGTGGTTAGTGAAATGTCTGACAATTTGAGAGCCAAAATGATTTTTTCATTTATTCATTCAAGAAGTATTTATGGGTGTCTTATTTGTGCCACGCACCGTGCTGGGCAATGGAGATGCTGTGGGGACAAGATATTTGGGGTCACGTCTGTAATCCCAGCACTTTGGGAGGCTGAGGCCGGCAGATCACCTGAGGTCAGGAGTTCAAGACCAGCCTGGCCAACATGGTGAAACCCCGTCTCTACTAAAATTACAAAAATTAGCCAGGTAAGGTGGTGTGTGCCTGGAATACCAGCTACTCGGGAGGCTGAGGCAGGAAAATCGCTTGAACCCAGGAGTCGGAGGTTGCAGTGAGCCAAAATCACACCATTGTACTCCAGCCTGGGTGACAACAGCGAAACTCTGTCTCAAAAAAAGAAAAAAAGAGGCCAGGCACGGGGGCTTAAGCCTGTAATCCCAGCACTTTGGGAGGCCGAAGTGGGTGGATCACCTGAGGTCAGGAGTTCAAGACCTGCCTGACCAACATGGTGAAATCCCGTTTCTACTAAAAATATAAAAAATTAACTGGGCGTGGTGGCGGGCACCTGTAGTCCTAGCTACTCGGGAGACTGAGGCAGGAGAATCACTTGAACCTGGGAGGTGGAGGTTGCAGTGAGCCAAGATCGCATCGCTGCACTCCAGGCTGGGTGACAGACTGAGACTCCATCTCAAAAAAAAAAAAAAAGAAAAGAAAAGACGTTTAATTGACTCATGGTTATGCAGGCTCTATAGAAGCATGGTGCTGGCATCTGCCCAGTTTCTGGTGAAGACTAAGGGAGCTTTCAATCATGGCAGAAGGCAAAGGGGGATCAGGCAAGTCACATGGTGAAAACAGGAGCAAGTGAGAGTAGGTGCCACACACTTTTATTTTTTAATTTTATTTTTAAAAATTTTTGTATTTTTTATATTTTGAGACAGAGTCTCGCTCTTTCACCCAGGCTGGAGTGCAGTGGCATGATCTCAGCTCCCTGCAACCTCCGCTTCCCAGGTTCAAGCAATTCTCCTGCCTCAGCCTCCTGAGTAGCTGGGACTACAGGCACATGCCACCATGTCCAGATAATTTTTTTTCTTTCTTTCTTTTTTTTTTTTTTTAGACGGAGTCTCACTCTGTTGCCCAGGCTGGAGTGCAGTAATGCTATCTCGGCTCACTTCAACCTCCACCTCCCAGGTTCAAGTGATTCTCCTGTCTTAGCCTCCCAAGTAGCTGAGATTACAGGCACCCATCACCACCCCCAGCTAATTTTTGTATTTTTAGTAGAGATGGGATTTCACTGGTTGGACAGGCTGGTCTCGAACTCCTGACCTCAGGTGATCCACCCACCTCAGCCTCTCAAAGTGCTGGGATTACAGGCGTGAGCCACTGCACCCAGCTGTTTTTATTTTTATTATTTTTTGAGACAGGGTCTTGCTGTGCCAACCAGGCTGGAGTGCAGTGGCACAATCTCAGCTCACTGCATTCTCTGCCTCTGGGGCTCAAGCGATCCTCCCACCTCAGCCTCCCGAGTAGCTGAGACTACAGGTGTGCACTACCATGCCTGGTTAATTTTCGTATTTTTGATAGAGACAGGGTTTCACCATGTTGGCCAGGCTGGTCTCCAACTCCTAAGCTCAGGTGATCTGCCCACCTCTGCCTCCCAAAGTGCTGGGATTACAGGCGTGAGCGTGAGCACAAGCCCAGCCTATTTTTATTTTTTGTTAAAGACAGGGTCTTGCTCTGTCACCCAGGCTGGAGTGTGGTGGTGCCATCACGGTTCACCGCAGCTTCTACCACCTCCTTGGCTCAAGCAATCCTCCCTCCTCAGCCTCCAGAGTGACTGGGACCACAGGTGTCAGCCACCACACCTGGCTAACTTTTATACTTTTTGTAGAGGGGTTTTACCATGTTGTCCAGGCTGGTCTCAAACTCCTAGGCTGAAGCGATCTGCCCGCCTCGGCTTCCCAAAGTGCTGGGATTACAGGCGTGTGCCACTGCGCCCGGCTAATTTGTGTATTTTTTGTAGAGACAAAGATTTCATTACGTTGCTCAGGCTGGTCTCAAACTCCTGGGCTCAAGCCATCTGCCCGCCTTGGCCTCCCAATGTGCTGGGATTACAGGCGTGAGCCACTGTGCCCAGCCTTATTTTTCTTTTTAATGTTTATTTTCTCCATCAAATATAATTTGGAAAATGAGGCAAAGCAGAGGAAACGATAATAAATTATCCATAGTGTCTCACCACTTAAATAGAAGTACTAAAATGTTGGTATATTCTTTCTTTCTTTCTTTTTCTTTCTTTCTTTCTTTCTTTCTTTCTTTTTCTTTCTTTTTTTCTTTCTTTCTTTCTTTCTTTCTCTCTTTCTTCCTTCTCCTCCTCCTCCTTCTTCTTCCTCTTCCTCTTCTTCTTTTTCCTCCTCCTCCTTTTTCTCTCTCTCTCTGTTTTTTTCTTTTCATGGAGTTTTGCTCTTGTCGCCCAGGCTGGAGTGAGTGCAACGGCGCCATCTCAGCTCACTGCAAACTCCACCTCCCAGGTCCAAGTGATTCTCCTGCCTCACCCTCCCGCCTGCCACCATGCCCAGCTAAGTTTTGTATTTTTAGTAGAGATGAGGTTTCACCATGTTGGTCAGGCTGGTCTTGAACTCCTTGACCTCAGGTGATCCACCTGCCTCAGCTTCCCAAAGTGCTGGGATTACAGGCGTGAGCCACTGTGCCTGGCCAAATGTTGGTATATTTTCATCTTGACTTTTTTTTTTCAGTTTCAATGCACTGTTGTTAAAAATACTACTAATGAATATATGCTTTTTTTTTTACATTAAGAAATGAGTGTCTCACTTTATCGCCCAGGGTAGAGTGCAGTGATGAGTTCATAACTCATTGCAACCTGAACTTGTGGGCTTGAACAATTCTCCTACCTCAGCCAAGTGAGTAGCTGGGATTACAGGCACCCACCACCACACCTGCCCTCTCCTGCTTCTTAAATGAAGCAGTATATTATGAATATGTTGCAGATTAACACTGGGACTGTAGGTAAGTGTGTTTTGGGGCCACTTTCACTTTTTATCTTAAACACTTTCATAGTGTTTTATTTTATTTTTACAACGCAAATGGTTACTTTTGTCATTTGAAAAGCAATAGAGGCGCCAGGCACGATGGCTCACACCTGTAATCCCAGCACTTCTGGAGGCCAAGGTGGGTGGACCACCTGAGGTCAGGAGCTCGAGACAAGCCTGACCAACATAGTGAAACCCTGTCTCTACTAAAAATACAAAAATCAGCCAGGCATGGTGGTACATGCCTGTAAACCCAGCTACCTGGGAGGCTGAGGCAAGAGAATCGCTTGAACCTGAGAGGCAGAGATTGCAGTGAGCCGAGATCGTGCCATTGCACTCCAGCCTGGGCAACAAGAGTGAATCTCTGTCTCAAAAACAAAAACAAAAACACTTATATAGTGTTTTATTTTTACAACGCAACTAGTTACTTTTGTCATTTGAAAAGCAATAGAGAGGCCAGGCGTGGTGGCTCACACCTATGATCCCAGCACTTTGGGAGGCTGAGGCGAGTGGATCATGAGTTCAGGAGTTCAAGACCAGCTTGACCAACATGATGAAACCCCGTCTCTACTAAAAATACAAAAATTAGCCAGGTGTGGTGACGCACACCTGTAATACCGGCTACTCAGAAGGCTGAGGAAAAGAGAATCGCTTGAATCCAGTGGCGGAGGTTGCAGTGAGCCGAGATCGCACCACTGCACTCTAGCCTGGGCAACAGAGCAAGACTCTGCCTCAAAAAAAAAAGAAAAGAAAAGCCATAGAGAACCCATAATATCATGAGTACCTTTCAAGTCATTACATAAAAATTAAAAATAAAATAAGTAAATATTAAAGAAATCTTATTTTCACGGGCTGCAAAGCTTCCCGACTGGATGATTGGTTGTATCTTGATCTTGATTCTCTAACGGTTTCTCCTGTGGAACACTTAGGTTGTGTCCTTTTTCATTTTCTTTGCTATTATAGATAGCACTGAGAAGAACGTCTTTGCACATCATACATACCAGAAGCTTTAATATGATAATCTGATTTCATATGCTGGACTAGAAATGGAGAAAGACAGCTTGTGGGGCGACGAGTGCTGCTTTTATGAGGCGTTTTCTACTGGAGGTGGGAGGTAAGTAGATTGGTGGGGGAAAGGAGCTTAAAACAACAGTATTCTGAAATTCAAAATTTAGATTTAAAATAAGAATTATGAGCCGGCCATGGCGGTTTATGCCCGTAATCCCAACACTTTGGGAGGCTGAGGGTGGGGCAGATCACTTAAGGCCAGGAGTTCGAGACCAGCCTGGCCAACATGACAAAACCCAGCCTCTACTAAAAAAAAATATATATATATATTAGCTGGGTGTGATGGTGCGTGCCTGTAGTCCCAGCTACTCGGGAGGCTGAGGCACGAGAATCGCTTGAACCCAGGAGGCAGAGGTTGCCGTGAGCTAAGATTGCGCCACTGCACTCCAGCCTGGGTGACAGACGAAGACTCTGTTTCAAATAAATAAATAAAAAGAAGAATCGGGGCCGGGCACGGTGGCTCACCCCTGTAATCCCAGCACTTTGGGAGGCCGAGGGGGGCAGATCACAAGGTCAGGAGATCGAGACCATCCTGGCTAACATGGTGAAACCCCATCTCTACTAAAAACACAAAAAATTAGCTGGGTGTGGTGGCGGGCGCCTGTAGTCCCAGCTACTTGGGAGGCTGAGACAGGAGAATGGCGTGAACCCAGGAGGCGGAGCTTGCAGGGAGCCGAGATCGTGCCATTGCACTCCAGTCTGGGCAACAGACTCCATCTCAAAAAAATAAAAATAAATAAATAAAAAGAAGAATCATAGCCGAGTGTGGTGGCTCACACCTGTAATCCCAGCATTTTGGGAGGCTAAGACAAGAGGATTGCTTGAGCCCAGGAGTTCAAGATCAGCCTGGGCAATATGGCAAGACCGTGTGGCTACAAAAAAATTTTTTTGTTAATTAGCCAGGCAAGGAGGCATGAGCTTGTGGTCCCAGCTACTCGAAAGGCTGAGCCAGGAGAATGGCTTCAGCCCAGGAGGTTGAGGCTGCAGTGTACTGTGTTTGAACCACTGCACTGCACTCCAGCCTGGGTGACAGAGTGAAAAAAAAAAAAGAATTATTAGCTAAATGAGCCTCAGGTCCATTCCAGCTCAGGAATTTGGAGTGTTTTATTGTCATCTGTCTCAGGTCCAGGCTAGAGTGAGGGGTAGGTGGAGATACAAGCAGAAGGTTGCAGTCCACAGTCCACATTCACAAAAACACTTCCAAGCCCCTTGAGATTCCCTCCTGGGTTGACTCCCCAGCTCCCTCCTGTGCAGACCTGACTTTGCAAGATTCATGTGAAGAACCTGGAGAGTCAAGGTGATAGAGTCAGCCTGCATCCTCAAGGTTTGGGGCCTCACTTGTCTCTGAAAATCAATTTCTTTTCTTTTTCTTTCTTTCTTTTTTCTTTTCTTTTCTTTCCTTTTTTTTTGAGACAGAGTTGCGCTCTGTCACCCAGGCTGGAGTGCTGTGGAGTGATCTCAGCTCACTGCAACCTCTGCCTCCCGGGTTCAAGCAATTCTTGTGCCTCAGCCTCCCAAGTTGCTGGGATTACAGGCATGCAGCACCATTCCTGGCTAAGTCTTCCATTTTTAGTAGAGACATGGTTTTGCCATGTTGTCCAGGCTGGTCTTGAACCCCTGACCTCAAGTGATCTGCACACCTCAGCCTCCCAAAGTGTGGGAAATTACAGGCATGAGCCACCGAGTCTGGCCTGAAAATCAAATTCTATCAACTGAGGTGGAGCTTGGTTCTGAACCCACTTCCAGCTTTGTAATTTGGGGCAAATTTACTTAACAGCCCAGAACCTAAGAGGTTCTTTATTTGAGGGAGGGTCTCACTCTGTCACCCAGGCTGGAGTGCAATGTCATGATTACAGCTCACTGCAGCCTCATCCTCCTTAGCTCAAGCAGTCCTCCTGCCTGAGCCTCCCAAGTAGCTGGGACCATAGGCATGTGGCTCCACACCCAGTAAAAAATTTTTTTTTTTTTTTTTTTTTTTGTAGAGATGGAGTTTCACTAAGTTGCTCAGGCTGGTTTCAAATTCCTAGGCTCAAGTGATCCTCCTGCCTAGGCTTCTCAAAATGTTAGGATTACAGGAGTCAGCCAGCCACCAAGCCTGGTGCCTAAGGGGTTCTTATAGAAATGAATGAGAATATTATTATGCACATCGTAAATGCTTAATCAGTGACAGCTATTTGTTGTTGTTTGCAATTCAGTGTTAAATGCTGTGATGAAAGAAGCACAGGAATTACAGAAGTCATATTAAATATGATAGGACCTAGCCTGGGGCATGGGGGCAGGCTTCCTACAGGATGCCACAATAAAATTCTGACTGGTGAAGAAGAAAGGCCCTGGGGTATTTCTTTTCTGACAGCTGGATCTTTCTAGGTGAGAATGTAATATATTCAATGCCAGGTGATTCCCAAACCTGTGTGTGTGTTACAATCCCTTGGGGTGAGGGTGGGGAGGAAGTGATAGGTTACAAAAGATTCTAGAGGCACCAGCCCAATCGGAAGTGCTATATGAGGTACATATTATTCTATGTGAGGCACTTCGCATAAGACGGCTCTCAACCTTCATATCAGGAACAAGGATTCCTAGTTTTCTGGTTCCTGGCATGTGCTCTAAAAGAAATGCAGGGCTGCCCAGGCGTGGTGGCTCATGCGTGTAATCCCAGCACTTTGGGACGCCGAGGAGGGTGGATCACTTGAAGCCAGGAGTTCGAGACCAGCCTGGCCAACATGGTGAAAACCCGTCTCTACTAAAAATACAAAAATTAGCCGAGCGTGGTGGCATGTGCCTATAATCCCAGCTACTTAGGAGGCTGAGGCAGGAGAATTGTTTGGATCTGGGAGGTGGAAGTTTCAGTGAGGTGAGATCGAGCCACTGTACTCCAGCCTGGGAGTAAGACTCCGTCTCAGAAAAAAAAAAAAAAAATGAAAACAAAACAAAACTGCAGGACTGGGACTTGGGACACAGCTGGAGTCTTCAGTTTTTGCTTTGTTATGCTCTTATCATTCTTACCAGCTCAAATAATTATTTATTTTTTTTAAATTATTGTGGTACATAGTAGGTATATATATTTACAGGTACATGAGATGTTTTGATACAGGCATCCAATGTGAAATAAGCACATCATGGAGAATGGGGTATTCATCCCCTCAAGCATTTATCCTTTGAGATACAAACAATCCAGTTACACTCTTTATTTTTAAAAGTACAATTAAGTTATTATTGACTATAGTCACCCTATTATGTTATCAAATAGATTTTATTCATCCTATTTTTTTGTACCCTTTAACCATTGAATTTTTTTTTTTTTTTTTTGAGACAGAGTCTTGCTCTGTTGCCCAGGCTGGAGTGCAATGGTGCAATCTCAGTTTGCTGGAGCCTCAACCTCCTGGGCTCAAGTGATTCGCATGCGTCAGCCTCCCAAGTAGCTGGGACTACAGGCATACACCACCATGCCTGGCTAATTTTTGTATTTTTAGTGGAGACGGGGTTTCGCCATGTTGGCCAGGTTGGTCTGAAACTCCTGGTCTCCAGTGATCCACTCACCTCAGCCTCCCAAAGTGCTAGGATTACAGGCATGAGCCACCATGCCTGACTATATTTTTTATTTATTTATTTATTTTGTAGAGAGAGGGTCTCACCATATTGCTCAGGTTGGTCTTGAACTCCTGGTCTCAAACAATCCTCCCGCCTCAGCCTCCCAAAATGCGATAATTACAGGCGTGAGCCACCACGCCCAGCAAAGTCTCCAGTCTTTGTGACCCTAGTTAAGTCCCCTCCTTTCTCCATGATTCAGTTTCCTCATCTGTAAAACAAGGGAATTGATCTAAATTAGGAGTCTCAAACTCAGGTGTTTCTAAGGGCCAGGGTAACTTGGTGAGATGTGTGGCACAAATGGGAACTACAGGGCTGAAGAAGGCACCACAGCAAAGGGGAAAACAGGCTGGACACAGCAGCTCAGGCCTGTAGTCCCAGCACTGTAGGAGGCCCAGGAGGGAGCCCAGGAGTTGGAGACCAGCCTGGACAACATAGAGAGCCCCTTGTCTCTACAAAAAAAGGGGGGCAGCCAGAGTCCAGCCTGTGAACCCAGAAGTATCTGATTTAGATCTCAATCAATTTAGAAAGTTCATTTTGCCAAGGTTAAGGACGTGCCCATGACACAGCCTCAGGAGGTCCTGAAGACATGTGCCCAAGGTGGTTGGGGTGCAGTTTGCTTTTATGCATTTTAGGGAGACATGAGACATCAATCAATATGTGTATATGTACATTGGTTCATTCTGGAAAGGCAGGACAACTGGAAGGAGGGGCTTCCAGGTCATAGGTAGATAAGAGAGACAAAGGGTTGCATTCTATTTTTTTTTTTTTTTTTTTGAGAGAGTCTCACTGTGTCACCCAGGCTGGAGTGCAGTGGCTCGATCTCCACTCACTGCCACCTCTGCCTCCTGGGTTCAAGTGATCCCGCTGCCTCAACCTCCCAAGTATCTGAGACTACAGGCGCGTGCCACCACACCCAGCTAATTTGCATTTTTAGTAGAGAGACGGGGTTTCTCCATGTTGGCCAGGCTGGTTTTGAACTCCTGGACTCAGGTGATCTGCCTGCAGTGGCCTGCCAAAGTGCTGGGATTACAGGTGTGAGACACCATGCCCGGCTCCAAAGGGTTGCATTATTTTGAATCCTTGATCAGCTTTTCCCTGAATCCACAATTTAGTTTGGCTCAGTGAATCTGCATTTTTACATAAACAGTAGGGCAGAGGAAGCAATCAGATATGCATTTGTCTCAGGTGAGCAAAGGGATGACTTTCTGTCTGGCACCTGTGAAGATAAGCTATCTCTTTACATTGCCAGGTGAAATTCAACAGAACTGATTTAGTTCTGTTGAACTAAAGATATAGGGAAAGGGGCCGGGGGGTGGGGGTGGCTCACGCCTGTAATCCCAGCACTTTGGGAGGCTGAGGTGGATGGATCACGAGGTCAAGAGACCGAGACCATCCTGGCTAACACGGTGAAACCCCGTCTCTACTAAAAAACAGAAAAAATTAGCTGGGCGTGGTGGCGGGCGCCTGTAGTCCCAGCTACTCAGGAGGCTGAGGCAGGAGAATGGCGTGAACCCAGGAGGCGGAGCTGGTAGTGAGCTGAGACCACGCCACTGCACTCCAGCCTGGGTGAGAGAGCAAGACAGCATATCAAAAAAAAAAAAAAAAAAAAAAAGATGTAGGGAAAGGGAATTGCCCCAGGTGTAGCAGCAAGAATTACAGAACAGATTTATTTATCTTGAAAAAGGCCCAAAGTCAGGAGGTAAAGATCTTGAGGCTCACAAGAAATTTCCTTATGGGCAAATTGTGCGGCGGGAGGTATGTAGCTTTTTTGTATCTTTGTAGCTATCTTATTTAGGAATAAAGTTGGAAGTAGGTTTGCCTGACATAGTACCCAGCTTGACTTTTCTTTTTTTTTCTTTTTGAGATGGAGTTTTGCTCTTGTTCCCCAGGCTGGAGTGCAGTGGCGCGATCTCGGCTCACTGCAACCTCCACCTCCTGGGTTCAAGCGATTCTCCTGCCTCAGCCTCTCAAATAGCTGGGATTATAGGCACCCGCCACCATGCCCACCTAATTTTTGTATTTTTAGTAGAGACAGGGTTTCTACTAAACCTGTTGGTCAGGCTGATCTTGAACTTGGCCTCCCAAAGTGCTGGGATTACAGGCGTAAGCCACTATGCCTGGCCCCAGCTTGGCTTTCCTTTTGGCCTAGTGATTTCGGGGTCCGAAGATTTGTATTTTCCTTTGACAAGCCAGTCACGGGAATGAGGGCCTAGTGCCATCAGGTTTTCTGGTTTTTCACAAGAATCTGGAAATCCATTTTTAAATGTTTGGCAACTAGTCTAAAATTTCCCATAAACATTATGCTGGTCAAGTGGAGCAGGCCAGTGGGCCAGAGTGGGCTGCCAGTCCCCAGTTTATCACCCCTGGAGTGGCTGTACTTGGAGGAGTCCTCTGACTAGCCATTTGCCATTTTATGTGCCTGGAAATTGCTCCCAGTGTTCCCAAGTGGGCCCTTCTCTGCCGATGGGATGTAATGTATGACCTTGGGCAGCAGGGTCAAATAGTTTGAGGCTGCAGGCCATACCTCCACGAGAGGAGTGCTCTGAGATGGGGCCTGGGCCTCAGCACAAGTTGCCTATAGCCTCCAGAAACTCTGAGTTCTCTTAGCAATTCCTAGAAACCTCAGCAGAGTCCCCCACCCTTGGCAGGCTTATCCGGTCCAGCAGACCCAGGTGGCTGACAAATAAATTGCAGTGAATCAGAACTTGGATCCACAGCAAGTAATCATGGACAGAGGCTGAAGTATCATCTAGTTGAATTTCTCCATTTTATAGACCCAGAGGAGAAAGTGGCCTGCCCCAAGTCCTAGAGAACCCAGATTCCTGCAAAAGGGCCAGTGGTTACTGTGAGCCCCTAGGAGCTGGACAGGCCTGGGTTCAAATCCTAGCTTTGTCAATTGCCAGCTCCTGACTTTGGGCCTTTTTCAAGATACATAAATCTATTTTGTAATTCTTGCTGCTACACCTGGGGCAATTCCCTTTCCCTACATATTTCTCTTCCAAAAAATAAAAAAGGCCAGGCGCGGTGGCTCACGCCTGTAATCCCAGCGCTTTGGGAGGCCGAGGGGGGCGGATCACGAGGTCAGGAGATCGAGACCATCCTGGCTAACACGGTGAAACCCCGTCTCTACTAAAAATACAAAAAATTAGCCGGGCGTGGTGGCGGGCGCCTGTAGTCCCAGCTACTCGGGAGGCTGAGGCAGGAGAATGGCGTGAACCTACGAGGCGGAGCTTGCAGTGAGCCGAGATCACGCCGCTGCGCTCCAGCCTGGGCGACAGAGGGAGACTCCGTTTAAAAAAAAAAAAAAAAAAAAAAAAGTCTTGGCTGGGTATGGTGGCTCATGTCTGCAATCCCAGTGCTTTGGGAGGCTGACCAGGGAGGAACCCTTGAGGCCAGGAGTTCCTGATCAGGCTGGGCAACATAAAAAGGCTTTTTTTTCTCTACCAAAAAAAAAAAAAAAAAAGTTCTGCTTATTTTTTCAACAGTGGATCCGATTTCAGCTCCTCTCTGAAGCCTTTCATTCATCTATTCCTTTGACTAGATAATAACTTCACAGATTCCAAATTCAAACGGTATGAGGTATTTATATTCTTTTTCTTTTTTTTCTTGTGATAGGGTCTCACTCTGTCACCCAGGTTGGAGTGCAGTGGTGCGATCATGGCTCGCTGCAGCCTCCACCTCCTGTGCTCAAAGCAATCCTCCCTTAATTCTTGTCTGTAGGAGCAGCTACTTGGAAGGCTCAGTTGGGAGGTTCCCTTGAGCCCAGGATCATGCCACTGCATTGCAGCCTGGGCAAGAGAGTGAGACCCTGTCAAAAAAAAAAAAAAAAGGAAAGAGGAAGGAAGGAAAGAAGGAAGGAAGGAAGGGAGGCAGGGAGGGAGGAAAGGGAGGAAAGGGAGGGAGGGGGAGAAGGGGAGGGAAGGGAGGGAGCTGGGGAGGGAGGAAGAGAGAAAGTGAGAGAGAGAGAGAGAGAGAGAGAAAGGAAGGAAGGAAGAAAGGAGATTCACAAATTGTTGAATTAAAAGAGTGAGCTACCAGGCTAGGTGCAGTGGCTCATGCCTGTAATCCCAGCACTTTGGGCGGCCAAGGCTGGCAGATCACCTGAGGTCGGGGGTTTGAGACCAGCCTGACCAACATGGAGAAACCCTGATTCTACTCAAAATACAAAAAATTAGCCAGGTGTGGTGGCACATGCCTGTAATCCCAGCTACTTGGGAGGCTGAGGCAGGAGAATAGCTTGAACCTGGGAGGCAGAGGTTGTGGTGAGCCCAGATTGTGCCGTTGCACTCCAGCCTGGGCAACAAGAGCGAAACTCCATCTCAAAAAATAAAACAAATAAATAAAAGAGTGAGCTGCTCCATACAAATAATAGGATCTCAGTTTTGCCTGGATAAAATAAGACAGGCATAGAAAAAATATTTGAAGATATGTAACAAAATCTTATCAGTTGCTCAGTTGCGGGACCGAATCACAGGTTAATTGTTTTCCTTTTTTTTTTTTTTTTTTTTTTTTTTTGAGATAGAGTCTTACTCTGTCGCCCAGGCTGGAATGTAGTGGAGCAGTCTTGGCTCACTGCAATCCCCACATCCCAGATTCAAGCCAGTCTCCTGCCTCAGCCTTCCGAGTAGCTGGGACTACAGGCGCCCACCACCATGCCTGGCTAATTTTTTATATTTTAGTAGAGACAGGTTTCACCGTGTTGCCTAGGCTGGTCTCAAACTCCTGAGCTCAGGCAATCTGTCTCCCTCGACCTCCCAAAGTGCCAGGATTACAGGCATGAGCCACCATGCCTGGCCCATGTTTTTCTTTATTTCCAGATTTTATCTTTTTTTTCTTTTTTCTTTCTTTCTTTTTTTGAGATGGAGTCTCACTCTCTCGCCCAGGCTAGAGTGCAATGGCACGATCTTGGCTCACTGCAACCTCCGCCTCCCAGGTTCAGGTGATTCTCCTGCCTCGGGCTCCCAAGTAGCTGGGATTACAGGAGCCTGCCACCACACCCAGCTAATTTTTGTATTTTTAGAAGAGTCAGGGTTTCACCAGGTTGGCCAGGCTGGTCTTGAACTCCTGACCTCAGGTGATCCACTAGCCTTGGCCTC
The DNA here is from genome assembly GCF_000001405.40 of Homo sapiens. Classification (NCBI taxonomy): domain Eukaryota; kingdom Metazoa; phylum Chordata; class Mammalia; order Primates; family Hominidae; genus Homo; species Homo sapiens. The sequence continues at coordinate 31,366,709 of NC_000022.11, forward strand.
CCAAAGTGCTGGAATTACAGGCATGGGCCACCACACCTGGCCTATTTCCAGGTTTTTCTACCTAACCATGGGTTTACCTTGTAGTCTTTAAAAATGACAATTCTTGGCTGAGGGCAGTGGCTCACGCCTTTAATCCCAGCATTTTGGGAGGCCGAGCCGGGTAGATCACTTGAGGTCAGGAGTTTGAGACCAGCCTGGCCAACATGGTGAAACCTCGTCTCTACTAAAAATACAAAAATTAGCTGGGAGTGGTGGTGCATACCTGTAATCCCAGCTACTTGGGAGACTGAGGCAGGAGAATCACTTGAACCTGGGAGGCGGAGGTTGTGGTGAGCTGAGATCACACCACTGCAGTCCAGCCTGGGTGACAAAGTGAGACTCCGTCTAAGAAAAAAAAATGTTTTAATAAATAAATAAAAATGATAGTTCTTTACTGTTTTTTTTTTTTTTTGAAAGAGAGGGTCTTGCTCTTTTGCCTAGGCTGAAGTGTAGTGGAGTGATCTCAGCTAACTGCCACTTCTGCCCCACCTTGCACTCAAGTGATTGTCCCACCTTAGCCTCCTGAGTAGCTGGGACCACAGGCACACAGAACCACAGCCAGCTAATTTTTTATATTTTTAGTAGAGACGGGGTCTCACTATGTTGCCCAGGCTGGTCATGAACACCTGGACCGAAGCGATCCTCCCGCCTCACCCTCCAGAGTTGCTGGGATTACAGGCATGAGCCACTAAGCCCAGCCCTATTATTTATATTTTAGAGATGTGCATACTGAGGTTAAAGGAAGGTGTAGGATGTGTCCAAAGTCTGAATCTAAGGTGTAGAGTCATGACTCTGAAACCCATATCTCCCCAAATACTGTCCTCTGCTTCCTTAGGGGAAATCCCCCAGTCACTTCCTTCGTTCTCCTAGCCATGAACATGTGATATCTAAATACTGTGCAAGGGGCCAGAGAGGCCGTAAGTGGAAATACAGACACAGCAGTATCTTGAATGAGGCTGGCATTCTTGGTGACAATGTTGAATTCCACATATATACAGGCATATGTTCATGCCTTCACGGGTGCAGATGTGTTGTTTTAGTCAAAGCTCTTTTGGAAACAAACAGCAAGGACCTATTCAAATTAGCTTAAGTGAACAGAAAATGAATTTACCAGAAGGGCACTGTCACGTCTACAGGACCCAAAAGTAATAGGGCCTCAGCGGGGCCTGGAAGGATACATGGGAAGGAGTCAGGAACCCCGGGAAGCAGTTGAACTCTTTTGGTTGCATGTAACAAAGTCAACTCAAGTGCCTCCATAAGTAAAAAAGAGCTTCATTTGAAAGACACAGAGGTGTCTCCTGGAACCTATAAACAGAAATGGCAGCAAGCCTGCAAGGAGGGATATGAGCACTTTGAAACCAAGGAAGTCCTTTCTCTCCATCATTTGTCTCTGCTTTTCTTTCTCTTTTTTTTTTTTTTCAAGACAGAGTCTTGCTCTGTTGCCCAGGCTGGAGCACAGTGGCGCGATCTCAGCTCACTGCAAACTCCACCTCCCAGGTTCAAGTGATTCTCCTGTCTGAGCCTCCGGAGTAGCTGGGATTATAGGCATGCACCACCATGCCTGGCTAATTTTTGTATTTCTAGTGGAGACAGGGTTTCACCATGTTGGCCAGGCTGGTCTTGGACTCTTGGCCTCAAGTGATCCACTCACCTCAGCCTCCCAAAATGCTGGGATTACAGGCATTAGCCACTGCACCCAGCCTCTGACATGCTTTTCTGAGGATGCAATGATCAGCTGCTCTGTTTCTCTGGTACAGATGCAGGGGGGCCAGAACATGCCTGCTCTCTGGCTCCCCAGTTTCTTTTCTTTTCTTTCTTTTTTTTTTTTTTGAGACAGAGTTTCACTCTTGTTGCCCAGGCTGGAGTGCAGTGGCGAGATCTCAGCTCACTGCAACCTCTGCCTCCTGGGTTCAAGCGATTCTCCTGCCTCAGCCTCCTGAGTAGCTGGAATTACAAGCATGTGCCACCACGCCCGGCTAATTTTGTATTTTTAGTAGAGACAGGGTTTCTCCATGTTGGTCAGGCTAGTCTTGAATTCCCGACCTCAGGTGATCCACCCACCTCAGCCTCCCAAAGTGCTGGGATTACAGGCATGAGCCACTGTGCCTGGACAAAAAACAATTATTTTTATTTTTTATTTTATTTTTTAGACAGAGCCTCACTCTGTCGCCCAGGCTGGAATGCAATGGTGCAATCTTGGCTCACTGCAACCTCTGCCTCCCGGGTTCAAGCGAGTCTCTTGCCTCAGCCTCCTGAGTAGCTTGGATTACAGGCACTCGCCCTCATGCCCAGCTAATTTTTGTATTTGTGTAGAGATGGGGTTTCACCACGTTGGCCAGGCTGGTCTTGAACTCGTGACCACAGGTGATCTGTCTGCCTCGGCCTACCAAGGTGCTGGGATTACAGTTGTGAGCCACCCTGCCCAGACCAATTTTTTTTTTAATTTGATAGAAGAAAATGTGCATTGCTATGAACTGGGCAGATACTTCATAACATGAGGGCTCTTCCTGATATGATTATTTTGTTTCATGGCTGCTAACCTGAAAAGCATCTTCATAAATGGAGGTGGGGCTTCACTCTCTTCCACTGAAGCCCCAGAAAAAACTGGGCTGTCTTTTCTTTTTCTTTCTTTCTTTCTTTTTTTTTTTTTTTTGAGACAGAGTTTTGCTATTGTTGCCCATGTTGGAGTGCAATGGCGCGATCTTGGCTCACTGTAACCTCTGCCTCCTGGGTTCAAGCGATTCTCCTGCCTCAGCCTCCTGAGTAGCTGGGATTACAGGCAGCCGCCACCACGCCCAGCTAATTTTTTGTATTATTTTAGTAGAGATGGGGTTTCCTCATGTTGGCCAGGCTGGTCTCAACTCCTGACCTCAGGTGATCCACCAGCCTTGGCCTCCCAAAGTGCTGGGATTACAGGTGTAAGCCACTGTGCCTGGCTTTTCTTTTCTTTTTTTTTTTTTTTGAGACGGAGTCTCACTGTGTCGCCCAGGCTGGAGTGCAGTGGTGCACTCTCAGCTCACTGCAAGCTTCGCCTCCTGGGTTCACGCCATTCTCCTGCCTCAGCCTCCCGAGTAGCTGGGATTACAGGCGTCCGCCACCACACCCGGCTAATTTTTTCTGTTTTTTAGTAGAGACAGGGTTTCACCGTGTTAGCCAGGATGGTCTCGATCTCCTGACCTCCTGATCCGCCCGCCTCGGCCTCCCAAAGTGCTGGGATTACAGGTGTGAGCCACCACGCCCGGCCTGTCTTTTCTTTTTAAGAGCATCAGGACTAGAAGCATTTGTGCACACTAATTCAGTCCAGTCAATATATTGAGCACCTACCTTGATCGAGCCACTGCCAGGCCTGGAAAGTCCAAAGATAATCAGATATCATCTTTCCCTAGTAGGTTCTGCCCCTAGTATTGTGTTTGTATCAGTCAAGTTCATTTAGAAATCTATTATTTCTGACACAGCTGGCTTAGGAATTTGTATTTGACTGCATTAGGAGGCACTAAATTGCATGAATTCATCTGAGAGTTGAGATCACAGGAACTAATAATGTATTTGATCTCTTTGCTCGCAGTCATCATTTTTTAAAACAAAAATATTATGAAGTCCATTGATGGTGGTGAAATTAATATCCGGTTGGGATTTCCCACACAGACTGGGAGGCCTGTCATTAAGGAGCTGAATCTGGGCCAGACACACTCATTATATGTGTTGTGTTGTTAATGGGTCTGCCGAATGCATGGAGGAAACACGCACCTTGCAAGGGTGGACTCATCCTATCCAGGTGCAAGTTCCATTTCTTCCATTTGCTACCTGGGTGACTGCGGATGGCTCACTTCCCCTTGCTGAGCCTCAGTTATCACCTCCCTAGACAAGGGCACAGAACCACAGACTAGCTGCTGTGACTTCTGGGAGGGATGAGGGATTTCACTGAATAGCAAAAGGAAATTTTCACTTAGCACTTCATTAGGAATTGTTTGAATTAACTACAGAGAGCCTGTGTTTCTCTTGTGATATTTATTTATTTATTTATTTATTTATTTATTTATTTATTTAAGACAGAGTCTTGCTCTGTCGCCCAGGCTGGAATGCAGTGGCACGATCTCGGGTCGCTGCAACCTCCACCTCCCAGGTTCAAGCAATTCTCCTGCCTCAGCCTCCCGAGTAGCTAGGACTACAGCTGTGTTTCACCACATCCAGCTAATTTTTGTATTTTCAGTAGAAACGAGGTTTCAATATGTTGGCCAGGCTGGTCTCGAACTTTTGACCTCAGGTGATACGTCCACCTCAGCATCCCAAAATACTGGGATTATGGGCCTGAGCCACTGCGCCCGGCCTCTCTTATGAGTTTTAAAATAAGTTTTTAAAACTCAGACTAAGGTCAGGCGTAGTGGCTCAGGCCTGTAACCCTAATGCTTTGAGAGGTCGAGGAGCAAGGATTTCATGAGGCCAGGAGCTCCAGACCAACCTGAGCAACATAGTGACACTCCCATCTCTACCAAAAAAAAATTGTTTTAATTAGCTGGGCGTGGTGGCATGCCTCAGCTACTCAGAAGGCTGAGAAGGGAGGATTGCTTACGCCTAGGTCAAGGCTGCAGTGAGCTATGACCGTGTTGCTGCACTCCAGTCTTGGTGAGCAAGACTGTTTCAAAAAATAAAAATAGGCCAGGCGCAGTGGCTCACGCCTATAATTCCAGCACTTTGGGAGGCCGAAGCGGGCAGATCATTTGATGTCAGGAGTTTGAGACCAGCCTGGCCAACATGGAGAAACCCTGTCTCTACTAAAAATATAAACATTAGCTGGGCATGGTGGCACACACCTGTAATCCCAGCTACTAAAGAGGCTGAGGCAGGAGAATCACTTGCACCAGGAGGTGGAGGTTGCGGTGAGCTGAGATCACACCACTGCACTCTAGTCTGGGAGACAGAATGAGATTCCATCTCAAAAAATAAAAATAGGCTGGGCGCGGTCACTCACGCCTATAATACCAGCACTTTGGGAGGCCGAGGCGGGTGGATCACCTGAGGTCAGGAGTTCCAGATTACCCTGACCAACATAGTAAAACCCTGTCTCTACTAAAAATACAAAATTAGCGGGGCGTGGTGGTACATGCCAGTAATCTCAGCTACTAAGGAGGCTGAGGCAGGAGAATTACTTGAATCCAGGAGCCGGAGGTTGCAGTGAGCTGAGATTGTGCATTGCCCTCCAGCCTGGGCAACAAGAGCGAAACTGTCTCAAAAAAATAAAATAAAATAAATAAATAAATATAATAAAAATAAAAATAAAAATAAAAACTCAGACTAGACTGGGCACAGTGGCTCACACCTGTAATTCCAGCACTTTGGGAGGCCAAGGCGGGCAGATCACCTGAGGTCAGGAGTTCGAGACCAGCCTGGCCAACACGGCAAAACCCCATCTCTACTAAAAATACAAAAATTAGCCGGGTATGGTAGCGGGCACCTGTAATCCCAGCTACTCAGGAGGCTGAGGCAGGAGAATCACTTGAACCCGGGAGGCAGAGGTTGTAGTGAGCCGAAATCGTGCCATTACACTCCAGCCTGGGCAACAAGAGTGAAACTCCGTCAAAAAAAAAAAAGACTAGAATGGACTAAGGCAAATTTTTTAAAAAACTTGAACATTGGTTTTTGGCATGACCAGGTACATGTTGCTGTTAATACATCTTGTACTAAAGCTAGATAAACAGGACTGCTATCTCACCTAGGTTTTTTTTTCCTTTTACTTCACTCAGAAGCAGAGATCCCAGGGTTTTTCTTTTGGCAGTGCCTATGGCTGGCAGTGTAATTTTTTTTTTTTTTTTTTTGGAGATAGCTCACTCTGTCACCCAGGCTGGAGTGTAGTCGTGCAATCTCTGCTCACTGCAACCTCTGCCTCCCAAGTTCAAACTATTCTTCTGCCTCAGCCTCCCAGCTAGCTGGAATTGCAGGTATGCATCACTATGGCCGGCTAATTTTTGTATTTTTAGTAAAGATGGGATTTCCCTGTGTTGGCCAGGCTGGTCTCGAACTCCTGACCTCTGATGATCCATCTGCCTTGGCCTCCCAAAGTGCTGGGATTACAGGCATGAACCACCACGCCTAGCCTGGCTGTGTCATTTTTGAGACTCAGTGCAAAATGAAAATGCAGGGACCTTTGTACAAAAGGCAGGGGAAAAAAATGTGCTGGTTTTTTGGTTGTTTTTTTTTTTTTTTTTTTTTTTTTTTTTTTGAGATGGAGTCTCGCCCTGTCACCCAGGCTGGAGTGCAGTGCTGCAATCTTCAGGCTGGAGTGCAGTGCCGCGATCTTCACTCACTGCAACCTCTGCGTCCTGGGTTCAAGCAATTTTCCTGCATCAGCCTCCAGAGTAGCTGGGACTACAGGCGCGTGCCACCATGCCTGGCTAATTTTTTTCTATATTTAGTAGAGACAGGGTTTCACCATGCTGGCCAGGCTTGTCTCGAACTCCTGACCTCATGATCCACCCGCTTCGCCCTCCCAAAGTGCTGGGATTACAGGCGTGAGCCACCGTGCCTGGCAAAAAATGTGCTGTTGAAAGTAATAACATAGCCCCCAGGCACGGTGTCTCACGCCTGTAATCCCAGCACTTTGGGAGGCCGAGGCAGGTGGCGGATCACGAGGTCAGGAGATTGAGACCATCCTGGCTAATACCGTGAAACCCCATATCTACTAAAAATACAAAAAATTAGCCGGGCATGGTGGCGGGTGCCTGTAGTCCCAGCTACTCGGGAGGCTGAGGAAGAGAATGGTGTGAACCCGGGAGGCGGACTTCACTCTAGCCTGGGGGACAGAGCAAGACTCCCTCTCAAAAAAAAAAAAGGTAATAACATTTAAAGCTTTTTCCTTTCTTTCAAGATCTTTCTGGACTTGTCATGGCTTATTTATTTATTTATTTATTAGACAGAGTCTCACTGTGTTTCCCAGGAGGAATTGGAACTCCTGGGCTCAAGTGATCCTCCTGTCTCAGCCTCCCAAACAGTAGGGATCATTGTGTATTTATTTATTTATATGAGATGGGGTCTCACCCATGGTGTGTTTTCTTGTTGTTTTCCTTTTGAGACAGTCTCGCTTTGTCACCCAGGCTGGAGTGCAGTGGCGCAATCTTGGGTCCACCTCCGAGGTTCAAGCAATTCTTATGTCTCAGCCTCCTGAGTAGTTGGGATTACAGGCGCGTACCACCACGCCTGGCTCAATTTTGTATTTTTTTTTTTTTTGAGATGAGTCTCACTCTGTTGCCCAGGCTGGAGTGCAGTGGCATGATCTCGGCTCACTGCAACCTCCGCTTCCCGGGTTCAAGTGATTCTCCTGCCTCAGCCTCCCGAGTCGCTGGGACTACAGGCACGTGCCACCATGCCTGGCTAATTGTTGTATTTTTAGTAGAGACGGGGTTTTACCTTGTTCGCCAAGCTGGTTTTGAACTCCTGACCTCAGGTGATCTGCCCACCTCAGCCTCCCAAAGTGCCGGGATTATAGGCATGAGCCACTGCGCCCAGCCTAAATTTATTTTTTTAATTTACAAAATTATATATATTTATGGTGTACAACATGATGTTTTGAAATTTGTAGAATATGTGAAATGGCTAAATCAAACTAATTAACATATGTCTTACCTCTCATACTTTTTTTTTCTGTGGTGAGAACACTTAAAAACTACTTTCTCAGCCATTTTCAAGTATATATCTTCTAGTACTTATTTGTGGCCATTTTTTATTTTTATTTCTTTTGAGACAGAGTCTTGCTGTGTCACCAGGCTCGAGTGCAGTGGAGCGATCTTGGCTCACTGCAGCCTCTGCCTCCCAAGTTCAAACAGTTCTCCTCCTTCAGCCTCCTAAGTAGCTTCGACTACAGGTGTGTGCCACCACATCCGGCTAATTTTTGTATTTTTAGTAGAGATGGGGTTTCATCATGTTGGCTAGGATGGTCTCGATCTCCTGACCTCGTTTGTAATTCCAAAGCTTTGGGATTACAGGCATGAGCCATTGCGCCCGGCCTTAATATTGTATCATTTTATGAAAAATGTAAAACTCTCACAACAGTATGATTCCATTTACACCCTCAATATTGTCTTCTGTGCTACGATAGTCTTATATTTTATGAGTGTTGTAAAATCTCACAATACAATATTTTTGTTTTTGCTTTAAACAGTTGTCCTTTAAAGAAATTTTAAAAATATAAAAGACAATTTTAGGCTGGGTGCAGTGAATCATGCTGTAATCCCAGCACTTTGGGAAGCTGAATTTGGAGGATTGCTTGAGGCCAGGAGTTTGAGACCAGCCTCAGCAATAAATCACCTCTAAAAAAAATTTAGAAATTAGCTGGGTGTGGTGGTGCATGCCAGCTACTTAGAAGGCTGAAGTGGGAGGATTGTTTTAGCCCAGGATTTCAAGGCTGCTGTGAACTATGGTTGTGCCACACCAGCCTGGGCCACACAACGAAAGACCCTTCTCTAAAGAAAAAAAGAGGACGTTTTGGCCTTTCTTTTTTCACATAGTTTTTCCACTCCATTATCTCTTCTCTCCTTGTGGACTCCTATTACAGGTGTTATAGTTTGCTAGTGGCCCAGGAGACACTAAGACTCTGTTCATTTTTTCCTTTCTGTTTTTCCAACTTGGATAACTTTTATTGGTCCTTCAAGTTTATTTTAGCTTTACTCTGTACTTTTTAATCTTTTGTTAACTCTCCATGGTGAATTTTTCATTTCTGACATTGTACTTTTCCATGAATCCCATTTTTTATATTTTTCATTTTTCTGTTGAGATGTTACTTCACTATGGCCTTTTTTTTTTTTTTTTTTTTTTTTTGAGAGGGAGTCTCACTCTGTTGCCCCGGCTGGAATGCAGTGGTGTAATCTTGGCTTACTACAACCCCCACCTCCCAGGTTCTCAGCTTCCCAAGTAGCTGGGATTACAAACTCGCACTACCATACCCGACTAATTTTTTATATTTTTGGTAGAGACAGGGTTTCACCATGTTGGCCAGGCTGGTCTTGGAACTCCTGACCTTAAGTGATCTGCCCGCCTCGGCCTCCAAAATTGCTGGGATTACAGGCGTGAGCCACCACAACCAGTCCATATTTTCCTTTTAATTCCTTTTTTTTTCTTTTGAGACAGAGTCTCGCTCTGTTGCCCAGGCTGGAGTGCAGTGGCGCGATCTCCACTTACTACTGCAACATCTGCCTCCCGGGTTCAAGGGATTCTCCTGCCTCAACCCCTGAGTAGCTGGGACTACAGGTGCGTGCCACCACGCCCGGCTAATTTTTGTATTTTTAGTAGAGATGGGGTTTCACCGTGTTAGCCAAGATGATCTCGATCTCCTGACCTCGTGGTCCGCCCACCTCAGCCTCCCAAAGTGCTGGGATTACAGGCATGAGCCACCGTGCCCAGCCCTTCCTTTTAATTCTTTAAAAAAAAAAATTATTTTTTTGAGACGGAGTCTCAGTTTGTCGCCCAGGTTGACGTGGAGTGGTATGATCTCGGCTCACTGCAACCTCCACTCCACCTCCACTGCAAGTGATTCTCCTGCCTCAGCCTCCCGAGTACCTGAGATTACAGGTGCCCACGACCATGCCTGGCTACTTTTTGTATTTTTAGTAGAGATGGGGTTTCACCATGTTGGCCAGGCTGGTCTTGAACTCCTGACCTCAGGTGATCCACCCATCTGGGCCTCTGAAAGTGCTAGAATTATAGGTGTGAACCACCATTCCTGGCCTCCTTTTAATTCTTGAACGTGTTTATAATAGTTGTATTAAGTCCTTTTCTGTTAATTCCAACATCTAGGTCCCTTTTTCTTCTGACCTTTTTTCTAGATTTCAAAAATTTTTATTATTATTTTTAGAGTCAAGGTCTTGCTCTGTCGCCCTGGCTGGAGTGCAGTGGCACAACTATAGCTCACTGCATCCTGAAACTCCTGGCCTCAAATGATCCTCCTGCCTTGGTCTCCCAAAGCTCTGGGATTGTAGGTGTGAGCCACTTTACTTGGCCCTTTTCTCTAGATCGTGTCTCATTTTCTTCCATCTTTGCAAGTCTAGTACTTCTTTATTGTATGGTAGACATTATGAATGTTACAGATTATGATCTGGAGTCTGGATTTTGTTGCCTTCCTTTCAAAGGCTTTCAGTTTTTTTACTTTGTTTTATTTTGTTTCGTTTTGTTTTGAAACAGGGTCTTGCTCTGTTGCCCAGGCTGGAGTACAGTGGCACGATCTCAGCTCACTGCAACCTCCACCTCCTGGGTTCAAGCGATTCTCCTGACTCAGCCTCCCAAGTAGCTGGGATTACAGGTGCGTGCCACCACGTCCGGCTCCAGCTAATTTTTGCTTTTTTTTTTGTTGTTTGGTTTTAAGGAGTGGAGAGTTTAATAGGCAAGAAAGAAGGCAGAAGGAAGAGGCTCCCTCATACAGAAACAGAAGGAGGGGGGCTCCAAAGCCGAAAGAGGAGGTCCCCCTGACTTTTTTTTTTTTTTTTTTTTGAGAAGAGTCTTGCTCTGTCGCCCAGGCTGGAATGCAGCAGTATGATCTCAGCTCACTGCAACCTCCACCTCCCCGGTTTGAGTGATTCTCCTGCCTCAGCCTCCTGAGCGGCTGGGAGTACAGGCACACGCCACCACGCCTGGCTAATTTTTGTATTTTTAGTAGAGATGGGGTTTCATCATATTGGCCAGGCTGGTCTGGAACTCCTGACCTCAGGTGATCTGCCCACCTCGGCCTCCCAAAGTGCTGCGATTACACGTGTGAGCCACCACACCTAGGCAAGGAGCTTTAAGTTTTGTTCTGGTAGGTAAATTACTGGTGAATCCTCTTGTTCCTGTCAGGTTTGGTTTTAAGTTTTGTTTAGGCAGATTTATTTTGGTTTTGTCTTTGGTCCTAAGGCATGGACCTTATTCTAGCACTTAGTCCTTACTCCTGACGCATGGCCTTTTGAGGATCTCAACTGAATGCCCAAGATATTTGGCATGTTCTTTTCACTCTGGCTGGATTTGAACTCCCACATGTCCCAACACTGAGCAAAAGCTGTTATCTCTGTTCAGCTGTCAATCCTGCAACAGTTGTTCTCTGCTGGGCCTCGCAGAGTCCCACTCTGTACATGCATAGCCCACAGCCCAGCCTTTTTTGGCTAGAGAGGCAAGAGGAATTCCCATGTAAACCTAACCTCCCCCTCCCTCTTCCCCTCCCCTCCCCTTCCATCCCAAGTCTTATTCTGTTGCCCAGGCTTGAGTGCAAAGGGACGATCTCAGCTCACTGCAACCTTCACCTCCCAGGTTCAGGTGATTCTCCTGCTTCACCCTCTGAAGTAGCTGGGATTACAGGCATGCGCCACCATGCCCAGCTAATTTTTGTATTTTTAGTAGAGACGGGGTTTCAGCATGTTGGCCAGCATGGTGTCCAACTCCTGACCTCAAGTGATCAGCGCACCCGGCCTTCCAAAGTGCTGGGATTACAGGCCACATGTAAACTTCTGTCTCTTCCCACTCCCTATGGTGCTGCTCCCTTCTTTTCTGTGCCCTGTCCTACACATTCCAGCTACTTCAGCAGCCCCAAACACTGATTTCTGCCTCTGCAGCTCAGGAAGAATTCTCCTTTGCTTGGAATCCACTTTCCTCCACTGTAATTGGGAAATTGTCCCCAGGCAGAAAGCCAGGACAAACATAGGGCTTATCTTTTCTATTTCCCTTTTTCTCAAGAATCATAGTCTATTTTGCCTTTTTTTAAATAACTGAAAACATCTGCCTCTGATTTTGTCCAGTTTTATAGTTCTTTAATATTGTTGGGCGGGGCGCGGTGGCTCACACCTGTAATCCCAGCACTTTGGGAGGCTGAGGTGGGCGGATCACTTGAGGTCAGGAGTTTGAGACCAGCCTGGCCACATGGTGAAACCCCATCTCCACTAAAATAAAAAAAATAGCTGGGCATGGTGGCACACGCTTGTAATCCCAGCTACTCGGGAGGCTGAGGGAGGAGAATCTCTTGAACCTGTGAGGCAGAGGTTGCAGTGAGCTGAGATCATGCCACTGTACTCCAGCCTGGATGACAGAACGAGACTCTGTCTCAAAAAAAAAAAAGATTGTTGGATGAGTTCATCATCACTGAAAGTGGAAGTCTTACTTTCATTTTCATCATGTAAACATCTTTTCAGAAGTATAATTGACATATAAGAAATTGTTCATACTTAAAGTGTACAATTTGATGAGTTTTGACTTACGTGTATACCCATGGAACTATTAGCACAATGAAGAAATTAAGATAAGGCTCCACCTGTTCTTTACAATCGGAGACAACTGGCTGCGCATGGTGGCTCACACCTGTAATCCCAGCACTTTGGGAGGCCAAGCCGGGTGGATCACTTAAGGTCAGGAGTTCGAGGCCAGCCTGGCCAACATGGTGAAACCCTGTCTCTACTAAAAAAAAAAAAAAAAAAAAAAAAAATTAGCTGGGCGTGGTGGCATGCACCTGTAATCCCAGCTGCTCAGGAGGCTAAGGAGAATCGCTTGAACCCAGGAGGCAGAGGTTGCAGTGAGTCGAGATGGTGCCACTGCACTCCAGCCCGGGCAACAGAGTGAGACTCCGTCTTAAACAAACAAACAAACAAACAAACAAACAAACAAACAAAACAAGACTCAGCTGTAAAACCATCTAAGCCTGATGCCTTTTAAAATGAAGACTTACTTTTCTAATTTCTTTTATTTCTATTTTGTTTTATTTATTTATCTATCTATCTATTTTTGAGATGGAGACTCGCTCTGTCGCCCAGGCTGGAGTGCAGTGGCACCATCTTGGCTCACTGCAACCTCCACCTCCCCAGTTGAAATGATTCTTGTGCCTCAGCCTCCCAAGTAGCTGGGATACAGGCGCAAGCCACGAGACCTGGCTAAGTTTTGTCTTTTTGGTAGAGATGGAGTTTCACCATGTTGGCCAGCCTGGTCTTGAACTCCTGACCTCAGGTGATCTATCCGCCTCAGTCTCCCACAGTGCTAGGATTATAGGTGTGAGACACCGTTTCCGGCTTCTAATTTCTTTTATACTTATTAGTGTATTTACATCTTATCTCTCTTCTTGGGAAAATTGTAACATTTTATTTTATTTTTTATATGGAAGTCATTATTTCTCCTATATTTCCTTTTCTTTTCCTTTTTTTTTGAGACAGAGTCTCACTCTCGCCCAGGCTAGAGTGTGATGACGCGATCTTGGCTCACTGCAACCTCCGCCTCCCAGGTTCAAGCGATTCTCATGCCTCAGCCTCCCAAGTAGCTGGGACTACAGGTCTGAGCCACCATGCCTGGCTAACTTTTGTATTTTTAGTACAGATGGGGTTTTGCCATGTTACCCAGGCTGGTCTCAAACTCCTGGCCTCAAGCAATCCCCCTGCCTCAGCCTCCCAAAGTGCTGGGATTACAGGTTCCGCTAGATTTTCTAAGTATTTGGCAGAGAGTTACATGTAATAGTCTTTTGTAATTCTTTTTTTCTTTTTTTAAATAAGATCTTGCTCTGTTGTCCAGGCTGGAGTGCAGTGACGTGATGTCGGCTCACTGCAGCCTCTGCCTCCTGGGTTGAAGCGATTCTCATGCCTCAGCCTCCCGAGTAGCTGGGACTACAGGCATGCACCACCACACCCAGCTAAGTTTTGTATTTTTAGTAGAGACAGGGTTTCACCATGTTGCCCAGGCTTGTAATTCTTTTAATTTGCTATTATCAGTGGTTGTATGTCCTTTCTTACTCAAGATTGCTATTTATTTATTTTATTTTATTTTTTGAGACGGAATCTCACTCTGTTGCCCAGACTGGAGTGCAGTGGCATGCGCCACCACACCCAGCTAATTTTTGTGTTTTTAGTAGAGACAGCATTTTGCCATATTGGCCAGGCTGGTCTCTAACTCCTGATCTCAAGTGATCTGCCCACCTTGGCCCCTCCAAGTGCTGGGATTACAGGCGTGAGCCACTGTGCCTGGCCTATTTTTTCTTTCTATCCTTATTCAAGCATTTTGAGATATTTTTCCTTTCTGTTTTACTGATCCTTTCATCTTTTCAAGTTCTTCTTTCTTTCTTTCTTTCTTTTTTTTTTTTAAGACAGGGTCTCGCTCTATTGCCTAGGCTAGAGAATACTGGCATGATTATAGCTCACTGCAACCTCCTGGGCTCAAGGTATCTTCCTGCCTCAGCCTCCTGAGTAGCCAAGACTACAGGTGTGCACCACTACATCAAGCTAAATTTTTTTTTTTTTACTTTTATTTTAGGTTCAGGAACAGCTGTGCAAGTTTGTTATATAGGTAAGCTCGTGTTATGGGGGTTTATTGTACAGATTATTTCATCACTCAGGTACAAAGCCTGGTAACCAATAGTTATTTTTTCTGATCATTTCCTTTCTCCCGCCCTGCACCCTCAAGTAGGTCCCAGTGTCTGTTGTTCCCCTCTTTGTGTCCATGTGTTCTTATTGAGCGCGCGCACACACACACACACACACACATTTATATGTACAAGCAATTGTCCTGCCTTAGCCTCTGAGTAGCTGGGATTACAGGCATGCACCACCACACCCAGCTAATATTTTTGTATGTTTTTAGTAGAGACAAGGTTTCACCATGTTGGTCAGACTGGTCTCAAATTCTTGACCTCAGGTGATCCACCTGCCTCAGCCTTCCAAAGTGCTGTGATTACAGGTGTGAGCCACCACGTCCAGCTGAGCTCCCACTTATAAGTGAGAACATATGGTATTTGTTTTTCTGTTCCTGTGTTAGTTTGCTAAGGATAATGGCCTCCAGTTTCATCCATGTTCCTGCAAAGGACATGATCTTCTTTTTTGTGGCTGCATAGTATTACATGGTGTATATGTACCACATTTTCTTTATCCAGTCTGTCATTGATGGGCATTTAGGTGATTCCACGTCTTTGCTATTGTGGATGGTGCTGTGATGAATATATGCATGCATGTATCTTTATGGTGGAATGATATATATTCCTTTGGGTATCTACCCTGTAATGGGATTGCTGGGTCAAATGGTAGTTCTGTTTGTAGCTCTTTCAGGAATCACCAGACTACTTTCCATAGTGGTTGAACTAATTTACATTCCCACCAACAGTGCATAAGTGTTCCCTTTTCTCCACAACCTCACCAGTATCTGTGGGGTTTTTTCACTTTTTTTTTTTTTTTTTTTGAGACAGAGTCTCGCTCTGTCGCCCAGGCTGGAGTGCAGTGGTGCCATCTTGGCTCACTGCAAGCTCCGCCTTTTGGGTTCAAGTCATTCTCCTGCCTCAGCCTCCTGAGTAGCTGGTACTACAGGCGCCCGCCATGACGCCCAACTAATTTTTTGTATTTTTAGTAGAGACGGGGTTTCACTGTGTTAGCCAGGATGGTCTTGATCTCCTGACCTTGTGATCTGCCTGCCTCGGCCTCCCAAAGTGCTGGGATTACAGGCGTGAGCCACCACGTCTGGCCCCCTTTTTTTTTTTTTAAGACAGAGTTTCGCTCTTGCTGTCCAGGCTGGAGTGCAATGGCGCAATCTCGGCTCACTGCAACCTCTTCCTCCTGGGTTCAAGCGATTATCCTGCTTCAGCCTCCCAGAGTAGCTGGGATTACAGGCAAGGGCCACCACGCCTGGCTAATTTTTGTATTTTTAGTAAAGACGGGGTTTCAACATGTTGGCCAGGCTGGTCTCGAACTTCTGACTTCAGGTGATCCACCTGCCTCGGCCTCCCAAAGTGCTGGGATAACAGGCATGAGCACTGCACCTGGCCTTGACTTTTTATTAATAGCCATTCTGACTAGTATGAGGGAGTATCTCATTGTGGTTTTGATTTGCATTTCTCAAATGATCAGTGATATTGAGCCATTTTTCATATACTTGTTGGCCACATCTCTGTCTTCTTTTGAAAATTGTCGGCACATGTCCTTTGCCCACTTTTTAACGGGGTTGGGTTTTTTCCCTTGTAAATTTGTTCAAGTTCCAGCCCAGCACTCAGTCTCAAAACTCAGTCTCAAAAAAAAAAAAAAAAAAAGTCTTCAATTTCCTTATACATGCTGGATATTAGACCTTTTTTTCAGATGCATAGCTTGCGAATATTTTCTCTCATTCTGTAGGTTGTTCATTTACTGTGTTGATAGTTTCTTTTGCTGTGCAGAAGCTCTTTAGTTTAACTAGATCTTGTCAATTTTTGCTTTTGTTGTGATTGCTTTCAGTGTCTTTGTCATGAAATCTTTGCCAGTTTCTACATCCCCAATGGTATTGCCTAGGTTGTCATCCAGGGTTGTTATACTTTTGGGTTTTACAATTAAGTCTTTATCCTGAGTTGATTTTTTTTTTTTTTTAAGATGGAGTTTCGCTCTTGTTGCCGTTGCTGGAGTGCAATGGCGCTATCTTGGCTCGCTGCAACCTCCACCTCCCAGGTTCAAGTGATTCTCCTGCCTCAGCCTCCTGAGTAGCTGGGATTACAAGTGTGTGCCACCATACCCAGCTCATTTTTGTACTTTTAGTAGAGACAAGGTTTCACGATGTTGGTCAGGCTCGTCTTGAACTCCTGATCTCAGGTGATCCACCCGACTCAGCCTCCCAAAGTGCTGGGATTACAGGCATGAGCCACCTCACCCGGCCCTGAGTTGGTTTTTGCATATGGTGTAAGAAAAGGGTCCAGTTTCGGGGCCGGGCGCAGTGGCTTACGCCTGTAATTCCAGCACTTTGGGAGGCGGAGGCGGAGGCGGGCGGATCACGAGGTCAGGAGATCGAGACCATCCTACCTAACACGGTGAAACCCCATCTCTACTAAAAATACAAAAAGTTAGCCGGGCGTGGTGGCGGGCGCCTGTAGTCCCAGCTGCTCAGGAGGCTGAAGCAGGAGAATGACGTGAACTTAGAAGGCGGAGCTTGCAGTGAGCCGAGATGGAGCCACTGCACTCCAGTCTGGGCGACAGAGCGAGACTCTGTCTCAAAAAAAAAAAAAAAAAAAAGAAAGAAAGAAAAGAAAAGGGTCCAGTTTCAATCTTCCGCATATGGCTAGCCAGTTATCCCAGCCCCTTTCATTGAATAGGGAGTTCTTTTCCCACCGCTTGTTTTTTCAGCTTTGTCAAAGATCAAACGGTTGTAGGTGAGTGTGCAGCCTCATTTCTGGGCTCCCTATTATATTCCATTGGCCTATCGGTCTGTTTTTGTACCCAGTACCATGCTATTTTGGTTACTGTAGCCCTGTAGTATAGTTTGAAGTTGGGTAGTTTGAAGCCTCCAGCTTTGTTCTTTTTGTTTAAGATTGCCTTGGTATTCAGGCTGTTTTTTGGTCCCATATGAATTTTAAAATAGTTTTTTTTTCTAGTTCTGTGAAGAATATTAGTGGTAGTTTGATAGGAATAGCATTGAATCTGTAAATTGCTTTGGGCTATATGGCTATTTTAATGATACTGATTTTTTCCTATCCATGAGCATGGAATGTTTTTCCATTCATTTGTGTCATCTCTGATTTCTTTGAGCAGTGTTTTGTAATTATCATTGTAGAGATCTCTCACCTCCCTGGTTAGCTGTATTCATAGGCATTTTATTTATTTATTTATTTTTTGAAACTGAGTTTCACTCTTGTTGCCCAGGCTGGAGTGCAATGGCTCAATCTCGGCTCACCGCAACCTCCATCCTGGGTTCAAGCGATTTTCCTGCCTCAGCCTCCCGAGTAGCTGGGATTACAGGCATGTGCCACCACGCCCTACTAATTTTTTTTTTTTTTTTTTTTTGTATTTTTAGTAGAGACAGGGTTTCTCCATGTAGGTCAGGCTGGTCTCGAACTCCCAACCTCAGGTGATCCACCCGCCTCGGCCTCCCAAAGTGCTGAGATTACAGGCATGAGCCACTGCACCTGGCGGCATTTTATTATTTTTGTGGCAGTTGTGAATGGGATTTTGTCATTTGTGTCTTGGCTTGGCTGTTGTTGGTATATAGGCATGCTAGTGATTTTTGTACATTGATTTTGTATCCTGAAACTGCTGAAGTTTATCAGCTGAAGAATCTTTTGTACAGGGACTATAGGGTTTTCTAGATGTAGAATCATGTCTTCTGCAAAGAGAGATACTCTGACCTCCTGTCTTCCTATTTGGTTGCCCTTTATTTCTTTCTCTTGCCTGACTGCTCTGACCAGGACTTCCAACCCTGTGTTGA
The DNA here is from genome assembly GCF_000001405.40 of Homo sapiens. Classification (NCBI taxonomy): domain Eukaryota; kingdom Metazoa; phylum Chordata; class Mammalia; order Primates; family Hominidae; genus Homo; species Homo sapiens. Next base: position 31,384,874 of record NC_000022.11, read on the forward strand.
ATAGGAGTGGTGAGAAAGGGCACCCGGGTCTTGTGCCAGTTTTCAAAGAGAATGCTTTCAGCTTTTGCCCATTCAGTATGATGTTGGCTTTGGGTCTGTCACAGATAGCTGTTATTATTTTGAGGTATGTTCCTTCAAAATCTAGTTTACTGACAGTTTTTAATACGAAGCGATGTTGAATTTTATCGAAAGACTTTTCTGCATCTATTGAGATAATCATGTGGTTTTTGTCTTTAGTTCTGTTTATGTGATGAATCACTTTTATTGATTTGTGGATGTAAAACCAACCTTGCATCCCAGGAATAAACCCTATTTGATCGTGGTGGATTTGCTTTTTGATGTGCTGCTGGATTCAATTTGCAAGTATTTTGTTGAGGATTTCTGCATCGATGTTCATCAAGGATATTGGCTTGAAGTTTTCTATTTTGGGTGTGTCTCTGCCAGGTTTTAGTGTCAGGATGATGCCGGGCTCACAGAATGAGTTGGGGAGGAGTCCCTCTGCCTCAATTTTTTGAAATAGTTTCAGAAGAAATAGTACTATCCCGTCTTTGTACATCTGGTGGAATTCGGCTGTGACTTCATCTGGTCCTGGGCTTTTCTTTGTTAGTAGGCTATTTATTACTGATTTCATTTTGGAGCTCATTATTGTTCTGTTCAGGGAATCTATTTCTTCTTGTTTCAGTTTTGGGAAGGTGTATGTGTCCAGGAATGTATCCATCTCTTCTAGGTTTTTATTATTATTCTTTTTTGAGATGGAGTCTCACTCTGTCACCCAGTGTGGGGTGCAGTGGCGCAATCTCGGCTCACTGCAGCCTCTGCCTCCTGAGTTTAAGCAATTCTCCTGACTCAGCCTCCCAAGTACCTGGGATTAAAGGCATGTGCCACCACGCCCAGCTAATTTTTGTATTTTTAGTAGAGATGGGGTTTCACCATGTTGGCCAGGCTGTTCTTGAACTCCTGACCTCAGGTGATCTGCCCGCCTCAGCCTCCCAAAGTGCTAGGATTACAGGTATGAGCCACTGTGCCTGGCCGCTTCTAGGTTTCCTAGTTTGTGTGCATAGAGGTGTTCATAGTAGCCTGCGATGGTTATTTTTATTTCTGTGGGGTCACTGGTAACATCCCCTTTGTCATTTCTAACTATGTTTATTTATTTTTTGTTTATTTATTTATTTATTTATTTTTTGAGATGGAGTCTCGTTCTGTTGTTCCGATTGTAGTGAAGTGGCACCATTTTGGCTCACTGCAACCTCTGCCTCTCAGGTTCAAGAGATTCTCGTGGCTCCGCCTACCAAGTAGCAGGGATTATAGGCATATGTCACCATGCCCGGCTAATTTTTGTATTTTTAGTAGAGACGGGATTTTACCATGTTGGCCAGACTGGTCTCGAACTCCTGACCTCAAGTGATCACCCACCTTGGCCTCCCAAAGTGCTGGGATTACAGGCATGAGCCATATTTACTTATTTTTGAGATGGAGTCTTGCTCTGTCGCCCAGGTTAGAGTGCAGTGGCGTGATCTGGGCTCACTGCAACCTCCACCTCCTGGATTCAGGTGATTCTCCTGCCTCAGCATCTCAAGTAGCTGGGATTGCAGGCGCCCACCAGCACGCCTGGCTAATTTTTGTATCTTTAGTAGAGACAAGATTTTGCCGTGTTGGCCAGGCTGGTCTTGAACTCCTGACCTCAATGATCCACCCGCCTTGGCCTCCCAAAGTGCTGGGATTACAGACATGAGCCACCGTGCCCTGCCTTAATTGTGTTTATTTGGATCTTCTCTCTTTCTTCATTAGTCCAGCTAGTGGCCTATCTTACTAATTTTTCAAAAAAAAAAAACAAACAAACAACCAACTCCTGGATTCATTGATCTTTTGAATGGCTTTTTGTGTCTTGATTTCCTTCAGTTCAGCTCTGATTTTGGTTATTTTTCTGCTAGCTTTGGGGTTGGTTTGCTCTTGCTTCTCTAGTTCTTTTTTTTTTTTTGAGACAAAGTCTCACTCTGTCGCCCAGGCTGGAGTGCAGTGGCGTGATCTTGGGTCACTGCAACCTCCGCCTCCCAGGTTCAAGTGATTCTCCTGCCTCAGCCTCCCAAGTAGCTGGGACTACAGGTGCCGGCCACCACACCCAGCTAACTTTTGTATTTTTAGTAGAGACAGGGTTTCACCATATTGACCAGGCTGGTGTCAAACTCCTAACCTTGTGATCCACCCGCCTCAGCCTCCCAAAGTGCTGGGATTACAGGCATGAGCCACTGAGCCTAGCCTCTAGTTCTTTTTTTTTGAGATGGAGTCTCATCCTGTTGCCCAGACAGGAATGCAGTGATGCAGTCTCGGCTCTCTGCAACCTCAGCCTCCCAGGTTCAAGCGATTCCCCTGCCTCCACCTCCCAAGTAGCTGAGATTACAGGCGCATGTTACCACACCCAGCTAATTTTTATATTTTTAGTAGAGATGAGGCTTCACCATGTTGGCCATGCTGGTCTCGACCTCCTGACCTCAAGTGATCCACCTGCCTCGGCCTCCCACAGTGCTGAGATTACAGGCATGAGCCATTGTGCCCGGCCTCTTCTCTAGTTTCTTTTAGTTATGATATTAGGCTGAATATATATGACCCAACACAGCAGCACCCAGATTCATAAAGCAAGTTATTAGCGCTCTTCAAAGAGACTTAGACTCCCACACAGTAATAGTAGGAGACTTCAACACTCCTACTATTTTATGGTTCTCTTTCTAAGTTTTTGAGACCTTTCTAACTTTTTTTTTTTTTTTTTGAGGTGGAGTCTTGCTTTGTTGCCCAGGCTGGAGTGCAGTGGCGTGGTCTCGGCTCACCACAACCTTCGCCTCCCAGGTTCAAGCAATTTTCCTGCCTCAGCCTCCCAAGTAGCTGGGACTACAGGTGCGCGCCACCAAGCCTGGCTAATTTTTGTATTTTTAGTAGAGATGGGGTTTCACTATGTTGACCCGGCTGGTCTTGAACTCCTGACCTCATGATCCTCCCACCTCAGCCTCCCAGTGTGCTGGGATTACAGGTGTGAACCACCGTGCCGGCAAGATCTTTCTAACTTTTTGATGTTGGTGTTTCGTGCTATAATTTCCCTCTTAACACTGCCTTAGCTGTGTCCCAGAGATTCTAATATGTTGTATCTTTTTTCTCATTAGTTTCAAAGAACTACTTGATTTCTGCCTTAATTTCATTACTTACACAAAAGTCATTCAGGAGCATGTAATTGTATGGTTTTGGGCAATTTTTAATGTCTTGATTTTTGTTTTTATTGCATTGTGGTTCAAGAGTATGTTTGGTATGATTTTGGTTCTTTTGCATTTGCTAAGGATTGTTTTATGTCCAATTGTGTGGTCAATTTTAGATTATGTTGCATGTGGTAATGAGAAGAATGTATATTCTGTTGTTTTGCAGAGGAGAGCTCTGTAGAGGTCTATCAGATCCATTTGGTCCAATGTTGAGTTCAGGTCCTGAATATCTTTGTTAAGTTTCTGTTTCGATGATCTGTCTAATACTGTTAGTGAAGTGTTCTACTATTACTGTGTGGGAGTCTAAGTCTCTTTGAAGAGCCCTAATAACTTGCTTTATGAATCTGGGTGCTTCTGTGTTGGGTCATATATATTTAAGACAGTTAGGTCTTCTTGTTGAATTGAACCCTTTACCACTATAATGTCCTTTGTCTTTTTTGACCTTTGTTGGTTTAAAGTCTGTTTTATCTGAAATTAGGATTGCAACTCCTGCTTTTTTCTGATTTCCATTTGCTTGGTACTTTTTCCTCCATCCTTTTTATTTTATTTTTTTGAGACTATGGATGAGATAGGGCTGTTGAAGACAGAATACCATTGAGTTTTGTTTTTTGATCCAGAAAAATATGGAACATTTCATGAATTTGCATCATCCTTGCACAGGGGCCATGCTAATCTTCTCTGTATCATTCCAATTTTAGTATATGTGCTGCTGAAGCAAGCACACCAAGCTCATTTTTATTTTTATTTTTATTTTTTTGTAGAGACAAGGTCTTGCTATGTTGCCCAGGCTGGTCTCCAACTCCTGGCCTGCAGTGATCTCCCTACTTTGGCCTCCCAAAGTGCTGGGAGTACAGGTGTGAGCCACCTTGTCCAACCCTTTCAAGTAACTTTTTTTTTTTTTTTTCCGGATACAGGGTTTCACTCCATTACCTAGTCTGGAGTGCAGTGGCATGATCCTGGCTCACTGCAACCTTGAATTCCTGGCCTTAAGTAATCCTCCCACCTCAGCCTCCCCAGTAGCTGGAAACACAGGCATGCACCACCAACCCAGCTAATTTTTTAATTTTTTGTAGAGATAAGGTCTCCCTATATTGCCCAGGCTGGTCTCAAACTCCTGGCCTCAAGCAGTTCTTCTACCTCAGCCTCCCAAAGTGTTGCGATTATACATGCCTGGCCTATTATTGACAAATTGTTATTTTATTAATTTTAGATTTTTAACTTTTAGTATTTTATTTTTGTTATATGGTTCTCTTTCTTTTTTCCTTCCTTCCTTCCTTCCCTCTCTCCCTCCTTCCTTCCTTCCCTCCCTCCCTCCTTCTTTCCTTCCTTCCTTTCCTTCCTCCCCTCCTCTTCCCTCCCCTCCCCTCCCCTTCCCTTCCCTCCCCTCCCCTTCCCTTGCCTCCCCTCCCCTCCCCTTCCCTTCCTTTTCCTTTTAAGACAAGGTCTCGTTTTGTTGCCCAGGCTGCAAAGATGCAATCCTGGCTCATTTCAACCTCTGCTTGCCGATCTCAAGTGATTTCCCACCTCAATCTGCTGAGTAGCTGGGACTACAGTAACATGCTACCACGACCAGTTAATTCTGGTATTTTTTGTAGAGATGGAGTTTTGCCATGTTGCCCAAGCTGATCCTGAACTCCTGGGCTCAAGTCATCCTCCCACCTCAACCTCCCAAAGTGCTGGGATTACAGGCCTGAGCCACTGCACCTGGCCTGCATGGTTCTTTTTCTAATTTATTTTTAAAATTTTATTCTCTTTTGTTTTTTCTTGTCTCTCTTAATTTGAATGTTTAATGAATTTATATTTTGAAAAAATAGAAAAAATAATAAAAACTTTTAATACCACACAATTTTCACTGAGTACAGCTTTAGCAGCATTCCTATAGTTTTGGTATAAAGATTCATATGATTTAGATAATTGAAATTTCACTTTTTGGTTTTATTTATTTAGGAAAGTTTTTTTTTTTTTTTTTTTTTGAGATGGAGTCTCACTCTGTCACCCAGGCTGGAGTGCAGTGGCGTGATCTCTGCTCACTGAAACCTCCGCCTCCTGGGTTCACGCCATTCTCCTGCCTCAGCCTCCTGAGTGGCGGGGACTACAGGCGCCCGTCACCACACCCGGCTAGTTTTTTCTATTTTTGGTAGAGAACAGGGTTTCACTGTGTTAGGCAGGATGGTCTCGATCTCCTGACCTTATGATCCACCCGCCTCGGCCTCCCAAAGTTCTGGAATTACAGGCATGAGCCACCACGCCAGGCCATATTTAGGAAAGTATTTCTTAATTTCTGGGTTATATTTATCTGCTATATCTTTGTTGCTTATATTTAGTTTTACTGGATTATGTTCAGAAAATGTAGTTTATGTAATCTCTGTAATATTTGGACTATTTGAAAGATTTTGGTTTTGTTTTTTCATCTTCAATTGTCCTCTTGTGCCTTTTTTTTTGAGATGGAGTCTCACTCTGTTGCCCAGGCTGGAGGGCGGTGGTGTGATCTTGGCTCACTGCAACCTCCACTTCCTGGGTTTAAATGATTCTCCTGCCTCAGCCTCCCAAGTAGCTAGGACTACAGGCACCCACCACTGTGCTCGGCTAATTTTGGTATTTTTAGTAGAGATGGGGTTTCACCTTGTTGGCCATGCTGGTCTCGAACTCCTGACCTCAGGTGATCTGTCCACCCCGGCCTCCCAGAGTGCTGGGATTACAGGTGTGAGAAATAATTGTCTAATCCAAGGTCACAATTTATTGTTTTCTTCTACGATACGAGTTTTACTTCTTTTTTTTTTTTTTTTTTTTTTTTTAGATAGGGTCTCACTCTTTTGCCCAGGCTGGAGTGCAGTGGCTTGATCACAGCTCACTGCAGCCTCCACCTCCCCAGCTCAATCAATCCTCCTGCCTCAGCCCCCCAAGTAGCTGAGACTACAGGCGTGCACCACCATGCCTGCCTAATTTTTGTATTTTTGGTAGAGTTGGGGTCTTGTCATTTTGCCCAGGCTGGTCTTGAGCTCCTGAGCTCAAGTCCTAATCTACTTTCTCTATATATAGATTTAACTATTCTAGACATTTTGTGTAAATGATACTTCCAGCTTGGGTGACAGAATGAGACTCCGTCTCAAATAAATAAATAAATGATATCACACAGTATATGATCTTTGTGACTGACTTCTTTCACTCAGCATAATGTTTTTGCTGGGTGCAGTGGCTCACGCTTGTAATCCCAGCACTTTGGGAGGCCGGTGGGCGGATCACTTGAGGTTAGTAGTTCAAGAACAGCCTGACCAACATGGCAAAACCCCGTCTCTACTAAAAATACAAAAAAATTAGCTGGGCGTGGTGGTGGGCACCTGTAGTCCCAGCTACTCAGGAGGCTGAGGGACCAGAATCACCTGAACCCGGGAAGTGGCGGTTGCAGTGAGCCGAGATCGTGCCAGTGCACTCCAGCCTGGGCAACAGAGCGAGGCTCCATCTCAGAAAAAAAAAAAAAAAGTTTTCAAGGTTCATACATGTTGTATGTAGTGTGAGTATTGTGTTCCTTTTTTATGGTTGAATATTATTCCATTATATGAGTATACCACATTTTATTTATTCATTCATCAGTTGACAGGCATTTGGGTTATTTCCACTTTTTACCTATTATGAATAATACTGCTTTCTTTTTGTTGCATTTATCTGGTATATCTTTGATCATCATCTAATTTCATTCTTTCGGCCAGGCACAGTAGCTCACGCCTGGAATCCTAGAACTTTGTGGGGCTGAGGTGGGTGAATCACTTGAGGTCAGGAGTTCGAAACCAGCCTGGCTGGCATGGTGAAACCCTTGTCTCTACTAAAAAAAAAAAAAAAAAAAAATTAGCCGGGCATGGTGGCGGGCGCTTGTAATCCCAGCTACTGGGAAGGCTGAGGCAGGAGAATCGCTTGAACCTGGGAGACAGAGGTTGCAGTGAGCTGAAATCGCGCCATTGCACTCCAGCCTGGGTGACAGAGTGAGACTGTGTCTCAAAATAATAATAATAGTTTCATTCTTTTGTCCTTTCTTTGTCACATTGTTTAGGTGTTTTTTTGTTTTTTTCAAATCCAGCTAGAGGCTGAGCGCAGTGTCTCATGCCTGTAATCCCAGCACTTTGGGAGGCAGAAGCAGGAGGATTGCTTGAGCTCAGGAGTTTGAAACCAGCCTGAGCAACAGGGATACCCTGTCTCTTCTTTTTAAAAGGATTTTAAAAACAAAATCCAGCTAGATTTTTTACAAGTCCAATTTGACAATCTCTGGTTTTGGAAGGGGAATTAGCCTGTTTATTGTGTGATAACAGGTATATTGGATATTATTTCTTTCGTTCCATTTTATGCTTACTATTTTATTCTACTGTATTATTTCCTCTTTCTCTTTTCCTTACTTTTGGTACCTTAATCAAATTCTTCATCCCCCTTTTATTGTATTTTATTTTATTTATTTATTTTTTGAGACAAAGTCTCACTGTGTTGCCAAGGCTGGAGTGCAGTGGCACGATCTCGGCTCACTGCAACCTCTGCCTCCCAGGTCAAGCAAGTCTCCTGCCTCAGCCTCCTGGGTAGCTGGGATTATAGGTGCATGCCGGCATGCCCAGATACTTTCTGTATTTTTAGTAGAGACAGGTTTCACCATGTTCATCAGGCTGGTCTTGAACTCCTGACCTCAAGTGATCCTCCCACCTCAGCCTCCCAAAGTGCTGGGATTACAGGCATGAGCCACTGCATCTGGCCTATCCTTCTATTATTTTAGAAGCTCTGCTATGTTTTATCAGTTCCAACATAGCTACTTTCCCATTGCTAACATCATGATCAAATCTATATTTATCTGTTGACATATCACAAATAAAGAAAGACTAAACATTTAGATCACAATTATTTTTATATTCCCCCCAGTCCCAACACCTCCATTTTGCTAAAGTAGATTAATATTTCTACGCTAGGGTTTTAATTGGGTTTCTCTTTAGTCCAGTTCTTCTGTTTCTTCTCTTAAGATACTTAGAACAATAATTCTGGGGTTTTGGACATTGTTGTAACTTTTTGTTAATACAAGTTTATTATATCCTTTAGCAGAGTAGTATTTTATTTTTACCCCAAAACGACTGCCCATGCCAACCACATTCATGATCTTGAATGAGCAGAAGGTGTTCTGATATTTAAGAATAATTTTCTGGGCCAGGCACGGGGCTCATGCCTGTAATTCCAGCACTTTGGGAGGCCAAGGCGGGTGGATCACGAGGTCAGGAGATCGAGACCTTCCTGGCCAACATGGTGAAACCCCGTCTCTACTAAAAATACAAAAAAATTAGCCAGGCATGGTGGTGGGCACATGTAGTCCCAGCTACTTGGGAGGCTGGGGCAGGAGAATCACTTGAACTCAGAAGGCAGCGGTTGCATTGAGCCGAGATCGTGCCACCGCATTCCAGCCCAGGTGACACAGCAAGACTCCGTCTCAAAAAAAAAAAAAAGGAATAGTTTTATGGGCCAAGTTCAGTCTCTCCCATCTGTAATCTCAATGCTTTGGGAAGCCAAGGCAGGAGAATCGCTTGAAGCCAGGAGTTCGAGACCAGCCTGGGCAACAATGTGAGACCGTATCACTGCAAAAAATTAAAAAATTAGCTGGGTGTGGTAGCACAAGTCTGTAGTCCTAGCTATTCGGGAGGCTGAGGCAGAAAGATGGCTTGAGCCTAGAAGCTGGATGTTGCAGTGAGCTACCATTGCAGCCATTGCACTCAGGGGGACAGAGTGAGATCCTGTTGGAGGTGAAGCCAGCTGGACTTCCTTGGTTGAGTGGGGACTTGGAGAACTTTTCTTTCTTACTAGAGGATTGTAAAAGGCACCAATCAGCACTCTGTAGTTAGGATTGTAAAACACACCAATCAGTGTTCAGTGGCTAGCTAGAGTTTTGTAAAATGTGCCAATCAGTGCTCTGTAAAAATGCACCAATCAGTGCTCTGTGGCTAGCCAGAGGTTTGTAAAATGGACCAATCAGCGCTCTGTGAAATGGACCAATCAGCATTCTGTAAAATGGACCAATCAGCAGGATGTGGGTGGGGACAAATAAGGGAATAAAAGCTGGCCCCCCTCCCTCCCCCAAGCCAGCAGTGGCAACTCACTTGGGTACCCTCCCATGCTGTGGAAGCTTTGCTATTTTGGTCTTCGCAATGAATCTGGCTGCTGCTCACTCCTTGGGTCCGTGCGACCTTTAAGAGCTGTAACATTGACTGTGAAGGTCTGCAGCTTCATTCTTGAAGTCAGTGAGACCAAGAACCCACCAGGAGGACGGAACTCTGGACACACTTTCCCCAAAAAAAATTCCATTTCAGGATTCCTTGTTATATACACTCTCTCTCTAGCCCAGCGGCTCTTGTCATCTTGTGGAGTCTGCAGATGTGTGCTGTGTTTCCCCTTGTCTGGGCTTTGCTCATCTGCCTGGAATGTTTTCTTTCCTCCATGCCTATCTCCATCTTTCCAGGCCCATCTTTTCCCAGTCTTTTTCTGACCCAAACCAGATGTGAGCACTTTTTCCTTTGAATCTCACAAGGCACCCTGTAACTATTCGGACACCTACCTCATTGTGCCTTGTATTACTGACATTTGGGCATTCCCATACCTTCACGCCTCTTTTGTCTTCTAGGGAAAAAAAAAAGTCTCTTTGTATTCCCAGTGTCTGTCACCATCCCTGGCATATAATACAAACTGAACTGAAATGACTAGACATGGATCAAGGAATCACCAACTTGGATGGTGAAAGAAGCAGACTTTGATTTAAGGAGTACTTTTATAAACTTTTATTTTTTCCATTTATGAGACACATTTGTAGGGGAAAAACTGTCTTCATTATGCCCTAGATGTGCTCATTCCTGAGATTCCCCTTTCTTATTTTATTTTTTCATAGAGATGGAGTCTTGCCATGTTGCCCAGGCTGGTCTCAAACTCCTAGGCTGAAGCGATCCTCCTGCCTTGGCCTCCCGAAGTGCTGGGATTACAGGTGTGAGCCACCATACCCATCTGAGATTCCCCATTCTAAAAGGAAAACATCTATCACTCAGTAATGAAGTTAATCACTATCCTTCATCCAGGGCTTCCCATTCTCTACTGCTACAATATACTTGGAATTTTGATCTGTTTAGAAGGTAGCCTTAAAAAAATGGTAATGGCTGAATGTGGTGGCTCATGCCTGTAATCCCAGCACTTTGAGAGGCCGTGGTGGGTGGATCACTTGAGTTTAGGAGTTCAAGACCAGCCTAGGTAACATGGTGAGACCCTGTCTCTACTAAAAATACAAAAAAAAAAAAAAAAGTTGGGCATGGCAGTGCAAGCCTGTGGTTCCAGCTACTTGGGAGGCTGAGGTGGGAGGATGGCCTGAGCCCTGGAGGCGGAGGTTGCAGTGAGCCTAGATTGCACCACTGCACTCCAGTCTGGGTGACACAGTAAGACCCTGTCTCATAATAAATAAATAAATAAATAACATGGATTTTTCTTGTATCATTATCCTGTTACTTCTTCCATCAACCTGACTCAATTATTAAGGTGTCTATAATAACATATACAGACTACTTAGAAAAAAAATTAAATACTTTTTCTTTCTCTTTATGTTATTTTATTCTAAAATTTTTGTTGATATTTAATAGTTGTACATATTTGGGGGCTACATGTGGTATTTTGATACATGTATACAATGTGTCATAAAATCAGAGTAACTGGGATATACATCACTTCAAACATCTTTTCTGCTTCTTGAAAAAAAACAATTTCTCTCTTAAAATTTCCATTTTTAAAATATCTTTCAAGAGGTTGTTGTAGCTGCACATCTGCTGGTGCTGGAGATAGATATAGTATCACTCCTTCCTCATGGGATCATGTCTTTTTTGTTTTGTTTTTTTCTTCTTTGTCTGTTTTGTTTTTTTGAGACAGGGTCCCACTCTGTCACCCAGGCTGAAGTGCAGTGGCATGATCACAGCTTACTGCAGCCTCGTCTTCTTGGGCCCACCTCAGCCTCCCGAGTAGCTGAGATTATACCACCACACTGATTTTTTGTAGAGACGGGGTTTCGTCATGTTGCCCCCTGTACCCAGCTAATTTTTTTTATTTTCGTAGAGATGAGGTATTGCTGTGTTACCCAGGCTGGTCCCAAACTCCTGGGCTTAAGCGATCCTTCTGCCTTGGCCTCCCAAAGTGCTGGGAGTGAGCCAGGCGTGAGCCACCAAACCTGGCCAGGGATCATGGTTTAATGGGAGTCAAGAGAAGTAAAACAGTGCCCGAGAAAGCCTATGTATTTGACCACATATAATTGTTCTGGAATGGTGGGAGTGTCTCATCAAGAGATGAAGCTTTTCTGTCAATCTTTGTTTTACTTATTTATTATTTATTTTAGAGGTAGTTTCTCGCTCTTTCACCCAGGCTGGAGTGCAGTGGTGGGATCATAGCCCAGTGTAACGTCAAAGTCCTGGGCTCCAGTGAACCTCCTGCCTGAGCCTTCCCAGTAGCTAGGACTACAGGTGCGGGCCAACAAGCCTGAATAATTTTTTTTTTTTTTTTTGAGACAGGGTCTTGCTGTTACCCAAGCTGGAGTGCAGTGATCTGATCATGGCTTACTGTGGCCTTGACCTCCTGGGCTCAAGTGATCCTCCTGCCTCAGCCTCACACATAGCTCAGACTACAGGTATGTGCTACCACGTCTGGCTAATTTTTAAATTTTTTGCAGACCGGCTAATTTTTTTTTTTTTGTAGAGATGGGGCGTCTCCCTATGTTGCCCAGGCAGGTCTTGAACTCCTGGCTTCAATGCCCAGGCTGGTCTTGAACTCCTGGCCTCAAGCGATCCTCCCACCTCAACCTCTGAAAGCACTGGGATTAAACTGTGAGCCACTGTCCCCGGCCTATTTATTTTTTACACATTTAATACCAAGGTGCTAGTGCTTTATTCATATGACCAAATGGGCTCTCCTTGCTGCAGTTGGTACTTAACAGACATGGGGTAGCTATGGCTCTTAGGAGCTGAACCTAAGGTCCTGGCCTTGGCCTCCCAGCCTGGATACTTCTTTTTTTTTCTTCCTTGAGATAGAGTCTCGCTCTTGTCGTCCTGGCTCCAGGCTGTAGTGCAATGGCATGATCTCGGCTCACTACAACCTCTGCCTCCCGGGTTCAAGCGATTCTCCTGCTCAGCCTCCTGAGTAGCTGGGATTACAGGCGCCCGCCACCACGCCCGGCTAATTTTAGTATTTTTAATAGAGACGGGGTTTCACCATGCTGGCCAGGCTGGTCTCGAACTCCTGACCTCAGGTGATCCACCTGCCTCGGCCTCCCAAAGTGCTGGGATTACAGGGGTGAGCCACTGTGCCCAGCCCCAGCCTGGATACTTTTTTTTTTTGAGACTGAGTCTCCCTCTGTCGCCAGGCTGGAGTGCAGTGGCACATTCTTGGTTCACTGCAACCTCCGCCTCCCGGGTTCAAGGGATTTTCCTGCCTCAGCTTCCTGAGTAGCTGGGACTACAGGTGCATGCCATCATGCCTGGCTAATTTTTTGTATTTTTAGTAGACACCGGGTTTCACCGTATTAGCCAGGATGGTCTCGATCTCCTGACCTCGTGATCTGCCACCCACCTCGGCCTCCCAAAGTGCTGGGATTACAGGCATGAGCCACCGCGCCCGGCCTAAATACTTGTTATGTGCAGGAACATATCTGATTCACTCTCTACTCTGTCCCCAGTGTTGTCACAGTGCCAGGCAGCAGTTGGAGCTCTGTAAATAACGATTGCATGAACAGGATGGCCACCCAGGACTCGGGAAAATGAGTATTACTCTTTGGTGCCTATTGACAGTTCAGGGCCCCAAGGTGGGTCCCAGGGTGTCTTTGAGCAGTAAGTGTTAACTTATCTGCAGGCCTCATATAATAGATTTGCTAAGGAGCACCTACTCACAGAGCAGTGATGCCCTTGATATTGTCAGCCAATTAATTCCTTAAGTACTTCAAGTTAGGATAGGCCTGCTGATTTGATTTTATCTGTCTTTTAAGATTGATCTTTGATCATGTCCCATTCCAGCTGGACCTCCTCATCTTCCCTCCTCCATTGCTAATAGTGTGGGATCTAATTACCTCATCATCCCTTAATTTATTTATGAAAAAGGCTGAGGTTAAAGAAAAGAAAGAAGAAACTCTCTTTGGCCCTTTGGGGACCTTCTGTAAAAGCTTTCCCTTCTGTTTCTCCCTCTTTATGCACAAGAAAACCTCCCTTTTTTGTCTCTGGGAAGTTAGAATAGTTCTTGTTTACAAATTTAACTAAATTAAACTTCCCTCCCAGGGCTGGGTGGAGGCCAGCCCTGTGGGTTAAGCCTGGCCTGTCGACTGTGGGTTAAGCCTGGCCTGTCGACTCCCGCTGGAATAATCAATCTATCAAAACAACCCATTGATCCTGAGGCAAACCGCTTTCAAAACCACCACATAGTTCCTGGACGTCCTGGCTTCCTCATGACACTTGGGGAAGAGGAGTCTTTTGAAATTTTAAATTTTATTATTACACAAGTAATACATGGATACATTCGTCTTGTAAAAATTTAACTTCAAAATTCTGTGGAATAAAATGTGAAAGGCCTTTTCTTTGCATCCCATCCCACAGTTAAGAGCTTCTGATGTATTTTTCTGTTTAGGCCTTTAAACTGCACGTTCATACACGTACACCTATATAAATGTACATTTAATTTTAAAAATAACATAAATGGTATCACTACGTAGGTGCCCTTCTGCTAGTTGTTTTCCCATTTAACATGTCCTGGGTAGCCAGTCAGACCACAGATCTACGTTTTAACGGCTGTAATCATATTTCAAAAACAGGATAGAGGCATTATTCATTTATCCATTTTCCTACTGATGGGTGTTAATATAGATTTCAATTTTTTGGTATTACAAACTATGTTGCAAGCAGCAGTTCTCTGGGAATTATCCATTCAAGTATGCACTTATTTTGGGCTCCCCATGTGCTCTACTCGGGGTTCGGAGTAAACAAAACCGACCTAAAAATAATTTTGAATGATAGAAAGGGGGCATTTTCTTTATCCAAGGGGGTGAGGCAGGCTGAAGATGGGTCTCTACTCCCTCCAAGACCATGGAGGGCGTCGGGGTGTCACCCCAGCTGTGAAAAAGGGACCCAGGACCCGCAGATGCTGGCGAGGAACAGGGGTGCGGAGCATGAGTCGGCTTTGCACCACGCCCTGGGGTCTCCAGCACTGAAGCGTTCAGTACCATGCAGAGCAGCTGGGAGCGGGTCCCGCTGGGCGGGGCCGAGCTGCGCGCGACCCTCGGCGCGCTCGGGGAGGCCCAGACAGGGGTGGCCTCTCTGGCCTCCGCTCCCGCGGGCTCTATGACACCGCACTGGCTCGCGGGACGGGGCGGGGTCGGGTGAGGGGGAGGAGACAGCCCCACGCTTTGCGACTCGCGGTGACCCCTACGCGGAACTCTCTCGCGGTAATTCGAAGTACCGCGCCTGCGTGCTGCAGTAGCGCCTGGTGGCGGTGGCAGTTTGCCCGCGGGTGTGTGAAGGGAGACAGTGTGGAGGCCACAGGGTACTCGCCACGATGAGCAGCACCTTAGCTAAGATCGCGGAGATAGAAGCAGAGGTAATGGACGCAGCTGGCGGTTCACTCTTAGTCTGAGCATTCCTTCTTTGGTGGCGTCGCTCCTTCCTGTTCTCCTTTGAGCCGCGTCAGGACCGGGCCTAGATTCCGCGACTTCTCTCAGCGAGGCCCGTGTTCCGACTGCCCTCTGCCACGATTAGGAGTCCCCGACTCTCCTCAGTCAGGGCCCCCTTTCCCCTCGTCCCGCGTCTACGCTCTCGGACTCCCCTTTGCCCGGGCCCGCGTTCCGCACCCCTGCACCTTAGGCCCTTAGTCCGTTCCCCCTCCCAGTGTTTGGCTCCTGTTCTGATGTTGTTTCTTTCCGTTTTGCTCTGAGAAACACTGAATCCTGTCCCTTATTCCATCTCTGACTTGGTCAGATAGTTCAGGATCTTTCCTCATCATCCTTCGCTGCGTCCCCCTTATTCCCCCTTTTCCCAGTGTCTACCCTAATGACCCCCTGATTCAGAGTATTTGCTCCCGGTAATCGGATCTGGAAGTAAAATGACATCTGTGTGGGAGCAGTTTATTCCGCCTGGATAGTGTGTGATTCCATTGCGTGCGGCCCTGAGAGCGCTTTACAATTAGGAAAGTGGTGTCCCAGTGTTAGATGGATCCAAACAGCTGCAAATAGTAGAAAAGGAACCCGCAGACGGGTTTCAGTCTAGTCTGGGGGCACTAATTGGAATGACCTTAATCGTCTTTCCTCTTTGGGCTTTGCTTTGCTTTGTAGTGAGGGAAATGAGCTGGATGGAGGAGATAATGGACTTTTACTCTTTTAAAGCCTGTAAACTGGGTGTGCTAACATTAGTAGGACTTGGGGAAAAAAATTATCCTCTCAAAGCTGGGGGAAGCGTTCACTGCTTCTAATTTATGGCTGTGATTCCTCCCTTTTAGATGGCTCGGACTCAAAAGAACAAGGCCACAGCACACCACTTAGGGCTGCTTAAGGCTCGTCTTGCTAAGCTTCGTCGAGAACTCATTACTCCAAAGGGTGGTGGTGGTGGAGGTCCAGGAGAAGGTTTGTGTTCTTCTTCAATATATATATTTTTAGGTATAATTTTTGTCAAAATAGTACATACATGTGGTTTAAAAATAACTAAAGATGGCCCAGTGCAGTGGCTCAACGCCTGCAATCCTAGCATGCTGGGAGGCTGAGATAGGAGGATCACTTGAGGCCAGGAGTTCAAGACCAGCCTGATCAACATAGACCCCCATCTCAAAAAAAAAAAAAAGTTTTTTAAAAACAGAAAAATAACTAAAGATGTTCTACTAAAGTAGATTTATATTTTCTAAGCATGAATTCTTGAACTGTGTTTATTTTTATTCTGCCGGTTTCAGAGGCAAATGAATATTGTCTAAGTGTACTGTAGTTTTATTTATATCCTGCACTGATACAAAATAGATTTACATGCGCTGGGTGCAGTGGCTCACCCTTGTAATTCCAGCACTTTGGGAGGCTGAGGCGGGAGGATTGCTTGAGGCCAGGAGTTCGGAACCAGCAAAGCCCTGTCTCTATGGGCTTAGAAATGAGGGGTCCCCATAGGTATGAAAGAAGATGTACCAAAAAAAAAAAAAGGCTGGGTGCGGTGGCTCACGCCTGTAATCCTAGCACTTTGGGAGGCCAAGGCGTGGATCACGAGATCAGGAGTTCAAGACCAGCTTGGCCAGCATGGTGAAACCCCATCTCTACTAAAAATACAAAAATTAGCTGGGCATGGTGGCGCATGCCTGTAATCCCAGCTATTTGAGAGGCTGAGGCAGGAGAATTGCTTGAATCGGGACCCAGGAGGCAGAGGTAGCAGTGAGTGAGATTGTACCACTGCACTCCAGCCTGGGCTACAGAGCTAGACTCTGTCTCAAAAAAAAAAAAAAAAAAAAAAAGTATCCTAGCATGGTGGTGCATGTTTGTGGTCTCAGCTACTTGGGAGGCTGAGTTGGGAGGACTGCTTGAACCCAGGAGGTTGAGGCTGCAGTGAGTTGTGATGGCACCACTGCACTCCATCCTGGGTGATAGAGCGAGATCTCATCTTAAGAAAACCAAAGTAGGGCCAGGCGCGGTGGCTCACTCCTGTAATCCCAGCACTTCGGGAGGCCGAAGTGGGCAGATCACAGGTCAGGAGTTCGAGACTAGCCTGACCAACATGGTGAAACCCCGTCTCTGCTAAAAATACAAAAATTAGCTGGGCATGGTAGCACGAACCTGTAATCCCAGCTACTCAGGAGGCCGAGGCAGGAGAATCGCTTGAACCTGGGAGGTGGAAGTTGCAGTGAGCCGAGATCATGCCACTGTACCCCAGCCTGGGTGACAGAGCTAGACTCTGTCTCAAGAAAAAAAAAGAAAAAACAAAACCAAAGTAGATTTATATTGGCTTACAGAAATGTAAACCTATATCATCAACAAGATTAAAAATAAGTAAAAAAATTGATGCAAAGGGAAAACGTAGGAAAAATAAGTCGAAGCCAAGCGAGATAAGATTTAGGACTAAAAGGAATGGCGTAAGATCTGTGCACCTGGTAGAGAAGGGCCACAGATTTGACTCTGAACTTGTTGGCAGCCATTGTAAAAAGAAAAAAGAAAAAAAGAAAACCCAGTCAGTCATACAATTTACAGAATTTGAAAGACAAAAAAACAAAAACAAAACTCTTTTTAATTAATTAATTTGTTTATTTTAGTTATAAAAGGGCAGCTCCTCCATAGGCAGAGCAGGGCTACACCATAGGTAGAGTAGCTAACAACTCTATTTTTGGATCATTTTTCATACATATATTTGGGCTGTACCTTTTTTTTTTTTTTTTTTTTCGAGACAGGGTCTTGCTCTGTTGCCCAGGCTGGAGTACAGTGGTGTGATCACAGCTCACTGCAGCCTCAACCTCCTGGGCTCAAGCGATCCTCCCACCTCAGCCTCTGAAGTAGCTGAGACCTACAGGCATATGCCACCATGCCTGGCTAATTTTTGTATTTTTTGTAGAGACAGGGTTTTGCCATGTTGCTCAGGCTTGACCTGAATTCTTGGACTCAAGAGATCCTCCTGCCTCAGCCTCTGGAATAGCAGGGACTATAGATGTGTGCCACTGTGCCTGACTTTTTTGAATACAGTTTTTTTATATCAAACACTGCATTGAATTTTGTGAATTGCTGTGCCCTCAAGTTTTGTGTGCTTTAGTTCTCCTTTAAAGGTAAACCATAAAAAGTTTGAGAAATAGTGCCTAGAGGGATAGGCAGTAAAAATGTGAAAGAAGTTATATGAGTCTTAACACTCTGGGGGATAACTCTCCTCTTTTTGGTATTCATTGATGTTTTAGGTTTTGATGTGGCCAAGACAGGTGATGCTCGAATTGGATTTGTTGGTTTTCCATCTGTGGGGAAGTCAACACTGCTTAGTAACCTGGCAGGGGTATATTCTGAGGTGGCAGCCTATGAATTCACTACTCTGACCACTGTGCCTGGTGTCATCAGATACAAAGGTGCCAAGATCCAGGTGAGTCAAGCCTGCAGACTAAGGAAGGAAAGAAATCTATTCTTCATTTAGGAAGAAGTTTATTGGGAGCTCACTGTATGCCAGGCCTGATCTTTGATCTACCAGGCACTTACTACCTGGTAGGGGAAATAGAGCAGTACGATAATAAAATGGGATAGCGCATGTGAAAATGCAGAGAAAGGGCCGGGCGCAGTGGCTCACGCCTGTAATCCCAGCACTTTGGGAAGCCAAGGCGGGCAGATCACCTGAGGTCGGGAGTTCGAGACCAGCCTGGCCAACATGGAGAAACCCCATCTCTACTAAAAATACAAAATTAGCCGGGTGTAGTGGCACATGCCTGTAATCCCAGCAACTCGGGAGGCTGAGGCTGGAGAATCGCTTGAACTACTTTTTCACCTGAGGGTGGGGGCTGGGACTACAGGTGAGCACCACCATGCCGGGCTAATTTTTTGTATTTTTAGTAGAAATGGGGTTTCACCATGCTGGTCAGGCTGGTCTCGAACTCCTGACCTTGTGATCCGCCCGCGTTGGCCTCCCAAAATGCGGGATTACAGGTGTGAGCCACCGCGCCCGGCCCCCTGGTTGTATTTTTAATGACCCTTTTTCCAGCTGGTCAGGTGCCCATGCAGAGACACATGTCCCTTTCTGGGATCCCGTGTCCAAATGTATATAACAAGAATGAAGCAGTGTGGACATATCTGGACCATGGCTTGATTCTAGCTGGTTTCAGAGTCTTGTTGAGAGTCACAGCTTTGGCAGCTCAAGAGAATAACTTTTTTTTTTTTTTTTTTTTTTTGGTAGGATGCTATTGACACCTCTCTCAGGACTTTTGAGTATTTCAAAATAGAGAGTTGCTTAACTCCTCTCCTCTTTCCCAGAAAACCTTCACTCATTTCAGTGTCTTCTGACCTTAGAGACCCCCAACTTTTTTTTTGCATGGTGCTCTCTTTCCTCCCTTTGTCCTCTGCCTCTGTTTTTCATCCTCTTTTGGCTTTCTCCAGAAACTAAGTTATGTAAGCTTACTAGTGGGTATCCTTAATCTTCTTTTTTTTTTTTTTTGAGACAGAGTCTGTCTCCCAGGCTAGAATGCAGTGGTGCAATCTCAGCTCACTGCAATCTCCGCCTCCTGGGATCCAGTGATTCTCCCGCTTCAGCCTCCCGAGTAAGCTGGGACTACAGGCACGCACCCCCATGGCTGGCTAATTTTTGTATTTTTTTGTAGAGACGGGGTTTCACCATGTTGGTCAGGCTGGTCTCGAACTCCTGACCTCATGATCCTCCTGCCTCAGCCTCCCAAAGTGCTGGGATTACAGGCGTGAGCCACCGCGCCTGGTCTCGCCTGCTTTAACTTCTAAAGGCATTGGAGTTTGAAGTAGTTTAACATTTAATTCCTTAAAATTGTGTAATTCCATGTTTTTTTGTTTTGTTTTGTTTTGAGACAGCATCTTGCTCTGTCTCCCAGGCTAGAGTGCAGTGGCATGATCTCGGCTCACTGCAACCTCCGCCTCCAGGGTTCAAGCAATTCTCCTGCCTCAGTCTCCTGAGTAGCTGGGATTTCAGCCACATGCCACCACACCCAGCTAATTTTTTTGTATTTTTAGTAGAGACGGAGTTTCACCATGTTTGCCAGGCTGGTTTTGAACTCCTGACCTCAAGTGATCTGCCCACCTTGGCCTCCCAAGATGTTAGATTACAGGCGTGAGCCACTGCACCAGGCCCCATGATTTAAATAAATATTTTTTTTTTAGGTTTTGGTTGGTTGTAACATGAAATTCGGATATATAAAGCATTGACTTTTTATTGAATGTTACTTATTAGGCATTGACTATTTTATTGAATGTTGTTATTGAATGTTGAATTATTAGTTGCTACATTTAAATTCTTCAGCCTAACTTTTAAAATATTTCCCTCTGAAGAAAAGCTAAATTTAGGTTGCCTTTACTTTTGTAGAGGCCTTAATAAATTTTCTTTTTTTTTTTTTTGAGACAGAGTCTTGCTGTGTCACCCAGGCTGGAGTGCAGTGGCGTGATTCGGCTCACTGCAACCTCTGCCTCCAGGATTTAAGTGATTCTTCTACCGCAGCCTCTCAAGTAGCTGGGACTACATGCGCATGCCACCACACCTGGCTAATTTTTGTATTTTCAGTAGAGACTGGGTTTCACCATATTGGCCAGGCTGGTCTTGAACTCCTGACCTTGTGATCCACATGCCTTGGCCTCTTAAAGTGGTGGGATTATAGGCTTGAGCCACCGTGCCTGGCCGGGCCTTAATAAATTTTCTGCCTGTGTTCAGCTGCCACAGTTAGAAAGCCCTTGCCCTTTTTCCCTCAGTTTATTCATTCTCTCTTTCAGATGATCTTTTTGAAGTTATAGTCATATTCCAGTTTTGAACAGTTTTAGATTATTCATGTAGATTATCCTTTTGAGTTCTTGCTAACATCAGTTAGGCTCATACTGTTGGGCATGTGTGTGTGTGTGGGGGGGTTTATTTATTTTTTTATTTGAGACGGAGTCTTACTCTGTTGCCCAGGCTGGAGTGCAGTGGCGTGATCTTGGCTCACTACAATCTCCGCCTCCCGGGTTCAAGTGATTCTCCTGTCTCAGCCTCCCAAGTAGCTGGGATTACAGGTGCCCACCACTATGCCCAGCTAATTTTGTATTTTTAGTAGAGACGGGGTTTCACCATATTGATCAGGCTAGTCTCGAACTCCTGACTTCAGGTGATCCACCCGCCTCGGCCTCCCAAAGTGCTGGGATTATAGGCGTGAGCCACCATGCCTGGCCGTTTCTTTTTTCTTTTTTCTTTTTTTTTTTTTTTTGAGACGAAGTCTCATTGTGTTGCCCAAGATGGAGTGCAGTGGCACAATCTCGGCTCACTCCAACCTCCTCCCGGCTTCAAGTGATTCTCCTGCCTCAGCCTCCTGAGTAGCTGGGACTATAGGTATGTGCCACCATGCCCGACTAATTTTTGTATTTTTAGTAGAGACGGAGTTTCACTATGTTGGCCAGGCTGGTCTTGAACTCCTGACCTCATGATCTGCCTGCCTCGACCTCCCAAAATGTTGGGATTACAGGTGTGAGCCACTGCGCTTGGCCACTTACCTGCTTTTTGTTACTGTAGATTAGTTTACATGTTAAGAACTTTACATAAACAAAAACCACATATAAATATAAATGCACTTTCTTTTCCATAGGCTTCTTTCATTCTGCATAATTTTGCATTCATGTTGGTGAGCTTTTAATTCTCTCTCGTGGTCTTTTTTTCTCTCATTTTGTATAAACTTTTTGAGCTTGGCCAACATGTTGAAACCCTGTCTCTACTAAAAATAAAAAATTAGCCAGGCATCTTTAATACCAGCTCCTAGGGAGGTTGAGGCAGGAGAATTGCTTGAACCTGGGAGGCAGATGTTGCAGTGAGCCGAGATCGTGTTACTGCACTCCAGCCTGGGCGACAGAATGAGACCCTGTCCCGGAAAAAAAAAAAAAAAGTTGCAAACATAGTACAAAGAGTTCTCGTATCACTTGCCTGCTTCTCCTGTTGTTAACATCTTACATAACCATAGAAAAATTATCAGAGATAGATGAACATTTCTGCAACAGTATTCACTAAACTATAGATCTTATTTTAATTTTTACCTGTTTTTTCCACCAGTGTCCTTTTTCTCTTCTAAAATTTTTATCTAGGATCATCCCATGATGCATTTAGCTATTTCTGTCTATTTGTTTGCCATCTGCAGTAGTCTCTGTCTTATCTTTTGTGACCTTGTCACTCTCAAAGAGTAATGATCAGTTATTTTGTATAATGTTCCTCAATTTGGGTTTGTGTGATGTTTTCTCTTGGTTAGACTTATTAGGTATTTTTGGCAAGAATACCACAGAAATGATACTGTCTTTCTCAGTGCCTCCTACCATGGGATTCATATTGTCAGTATGTCTTATTGGTGATATTGTCCTCCATCAATTGGTTATGGTTGTGTCTGTAGGGTTTCTCTAAAGTTACCTTTTTTTGGACAGTTAATATATATTTTAGGGGAGATACTTCAAGAAGATGCAAATCCTGTTTTTCCTCAAACTTTTGCCTGCTCATTTTCGCATCCATCTGTGGGTCTTGTCTGTAACAGTTATTATTGTACTTTTGCCTCATGGTAATTCTCCCTCGCTCTGTCACCCAGGCTGAATGCAGTGGCACGGGTACGATCATGGCTCACTGCAGCCTCGACCTCCTGGGTTCAAGTGATCCTCCCACCGTAGCCTTCCAAGTAGCTGGGACTATAGGCATGCACTACCATGCCTGACTAATTTTTTATTTTTTTGTAGAGACAGAGTCTCAATATGTTGTCCAGGCTGGTCTTGAACTCCTGCACACAAGCAGTCTACCTGCCTCAGCCTCCTGAGGTGCTGGGGTTATAGGCATGAGCCACTGTCCTGGGCCTGAGTATGTTCTTTTGTTTGTTTTATTTTTATTTTTTATTTTCATTTTTCTTTTTTTTTTTTTTGAGTACGTTCTTGAATGGAGAAGTTGAACTGTCTCGCACCTGCTAAATCAGTTTTCATTGCAGTTTATTTAATGCAAAGTATATTTCTGTAATTTCTTATATTCTTAGAGCAAAGCATATCTGATTTAAATTATGTTTTGGTCAGGCGTGGTGGTTCAAGCCTATAATCCCAGCACTTTGGGAGGCCGAGGTGAGCGGATCACCTGAGGTCAGGAGATCGAGACCAGCTTGGCCAATGTGGTGAAACCCTGTCTCTACTAAAAATACACAAAAAAAATTAGTGGGGCATGGTGGCGGGCACCTGTAATCCCAGCTACTCGGGAGGCTGAGGCAGGAGAATTACTTGAACCTGAGAGGCAGAGGTTGCAGTGAGCCGAGATCACACCACCGCACTCCAGCCTGGGTGATGGAGCGAGACTCCCCTTTTTTTCCTTCTTTTTTTTTTTTTTTTTTTTTTGAGATAGAGTCTTGCTTCATTGCCCAGGCTGGAGTGCAGTGGTGTGATCTCAGCTCACTGCAACCTCTGCCTCCTGGGTTCAAGCAATTCTCCTGCCTCAGCCTCCTGAGGGAGCTGGGATTACAGGTGCCCGCCACTACGCCCCACTAATTTTTTTGTGTATTTTTAGTAGAGACAGGGTTTCACCATGTTGGCCAAGCTGGTCTTGATCTCCTGACCTCAGATGATCCGCTCACCTTGGCCTCCCAAAGTACTGGGATTACAGGCTTGAGCCACCATGCCCAGCTGAGAATCCCTATGAAAAAGCAAGGCCAGACACTGTGTCTCATGCCTATAATCCCAGCACTTTGGGAGACTGACGCGAGCAGATCACTTGAGGTCAGGAGTTCGAGACCAGCCTGGCCAACATGGTGAAAACTTGTCTCTACTAAAAATACATAAAAAAAATTGGTGGGGCATGGTGGCGAGCACCTGTAATCCCAGCTGCTCAGGAGGCTGAGGTGCGAGAATCGCTTGAACCTGGGAGGCGGACATTGCAATGAACCAAGATTGCACCACTGCACTTCAGCCTGGGCGATAGAGCGAGACTCATTCTCAAAAAAAAAAAAAAAAAAAAAAAGATATTTTAAGTGATGTTTTAATAAGCTGCATCTGTTTTCAGTTCATTTATGTGTATAATTCAGTATTTGCCATACAGTAGACCCTTGGTATTTTTAGATTTTATATTTGTTTTAACTGTTTTGACTGATTCTTAAGGGCAGTCAAATTAATAGTTTATAATTTTGCTGAGATGTAAATTTGAATCACATGTGCTGTGGGGTTGGTTTTTCAATCACATCATTAGGTACACTGAGTTCTGTGAAGTTTTACCTTACTGCATTTCCTGGGCAGTTGAGCAGTCATTTTTATCTTTTTAAAATCTTTTAAAATTTATTTATTTATTTTTATTATTTTTTGAGATGGAGTCTTACTCTGTCGCCCAGGCTGGCATAATCTCGGCTCACTGCAACCTTCGACTGTCGGGTTCAAGCCATTCTTGTGCCTCAGCCTCCAGAGTAGCTGGGATTACAGGTGTGTGCCACCATACCCGGCTAATTTTTGTATTTTTTGTACAGACGGGGTTTCACCATGTTGGCTAGGATGGTC
The DNA here is from genome assembly GCF_000001405.40 of Homo sapiens. NCBI lineage: Eukaryota > Metazoa > Chordata > Mammalia > Primates > Hominidae > Homo > Homo sapiens. The sequence continues at coordinate 31,409,303 of NC_000022.11, forward strand.
TCGAACTCCTGAGCTCAAGCAATCTGCCTGCTTCGGCCTCTGGGAAAGTGCTGTGGAATTATAGGTGTGAGTTACTGGGCCCAGCCTGAGCAGTCATTTTTTACTGGGGACATACATCAGAGTCACTTGTAAAGCCTTTTGAAGTACAGATCCCTATCTGTTGGCCCTTCAAATCAGAATCTGCAGGGATGGGTTTCAGCTCTCTACATTTTAAAAGTTTTTCCAGGTGATTCGGTTGTGCCTGCTTAAGAACGGCTACAAAAATTTTTGTGAGTTGGGGATTTGCAGAAATTGCAATATGTATCATATGTAAATATCAAGATTCAGCTGATACCTGCTGTAAGGAATTTATATGGAGGCTCAGCCTTCTGAAAAGTGGGGGAACACTGAAAAATATTAATGTAGAATTGGCTGGGCATGGTGGCTCACTCCTGTAATCCTAGTACTTTGGGAGGCTGAGGTGGGTGGATTGCCTGAGCTCAGGAGTTCGAGACCAGCCTGGGCAACACGTCGAAACCCTGACTCTACTAAAATACAAAAAATTAGTCAGATATGGTGGCATATGCCCTGTAGTCCCAGCTACTCTGGAGGCTGAGACAGGATAATTGCTAGAACCTGGGAGGCAGAGGTTGCAGTGAGCCGAGATCACGCCACTGCATTCCAGCCTGGGTGGCAGAGTGAGACTCCGTCTTTTAAAAACAAACAAACAAAAAATAATGTAGAATAATGGATTTTGGCTAGAAAACATGGGTTATAACCTATTAGGACTATGACTTTGGACAAGTCACTTACCTGCTGTGAACTTCAGCTAGTATCCTTATCTCACAGGGTTGTTAGGCATTTTCAAGGAGGTAAGGTACATAAAAAGCCCGGCCTAGGTGCAGTGGCTCATGCCTGTAATCCCAGCACTTTGGGAGGTCGAGGCGGGCAGATCTCGAGTTCAGGAGTTTGAGACCAGCCTGGCCAATATGGTGAAACCCCGTCCCTACTAAAAATACAAAAATTAGCTGGGCGTGGTGGCGTGCACCTGTAGTCCCAGCTACTCGGGAATTTGAGGCAGAAGAATCGCTTGAACCCGGGAGGTGGAGGTTTCAGTGAGCAGAGGTGGCACCACTGCACTCCAGCTTGGGCGGCAGAGTGAGACTCCTCTCCCAAAACAAACAAACAAACAAAAAACGCCTATAGGCTGGCATCTCCCAAAACTAACAGACAAACAAAAAACGCCTATAGGCTGGGCGTGGTGGCTCACGCCTGTAATTCCAGCACTTTGGGAGGCTGATGCCGGTGGATCCCTGAGGTCAGGAGTTTGAGACCAGCCTGGCCAACATGGTGAAATCCCCGTCTGTACTAAAAATACAAAAAAGTTTGCCAGCGTGGTGGCAGGTATCTGTAATCCCAGCTACTTGAGAGGCTGAGGCAGGAGAATCCCTTGAACCCGAGAGGCAGAGGTTGCAGTGAGCTGAGATTGTGCCGTTGTACTCCAGCCTGGGCAAAAAGCATGAAACTCCATCTCCAAAAAAAAAAAAGCCTGTAGCTGACATTTAGTAGGTGCTTATTAAAAGTAATATTCACACACTCGCTTATAAGGAAGATTGGATTTGGGTCTGATAAATTATAGGTACTTGAGAAATAAATTAATTCTGTTTGATATTTTCAAATTTATAACCAGTTTTTTCTTTCATCCTCTTCCCCCATTCTTAATCTTGCAGCTCCTGGATCTCCCAGGTATCATTGAAGGTGCCAAGGATGGGAAAGGTAGAGGTCGTCAAGTCATTGCAGGTGAGTGGTTTAAGTGCCACCATCCTGGGATATCATTCCCTTCTCTGGTACTATTCTTTTAGTCAGGGACTACTTGGCTTGGAGATTATACCACAGTGAAGGGCATAGTTTCACCTGACTTCTCATTTAAGTTGAAGCTTGAAGGGACCTCAGCTGCAACGTTAGCAATGTTCTGAATCTCTGCTGTCCAACATTGTAGCTCCTAGGCATGTATGGGTATAGAGCTCTTGAAATGTGCCTAGTACAATTAAGGAGCTAGTGGAGTCTGTATTGGACAATGCAGCTTTAGACATTTTATATGGCTGTCGTCTTGAGATTTTCTGCTCTTGTGTGGGATCTTCTGTTTCCTAGAGGCAGTGTCTACTTTTTTGGGATGTTTTGCTGAAGCACATTCTTTAATAACTTCCCCAGAGAAGATGAATGATACAGTTAAATTTTTCTGTCTTTTCTTTTTTTTTTTTTTTTTGGGACAGTGGCTCACTCTGTCATCCAGGCTGGAGTGCAGTGGGAGAATCTTGGCTCACTGCAACCTCTGCCTCCCGGGTTCAAGGGATCCTCCCACCTCAGCCTCCCAGGTAGCAGGGACTACAGGGGTGTGTCACTATGCCTGGCTAATTTTTTTTTTTTTGGTAGAGACGGAGTTTCACCATGTTACCCAGGCTGAAGCTCAAGTGATCTGCCTGCCTCAGTCTCCCAGAGTGCTGTCCTTTCATGTTTGAAGGTTATTTTTATTTTACCCTTGTACTGGAGTCATTAATTTGGCTATTTATAGAATTATAAATTAGAAGTCATTTTCCCTCAGAAATTTGAAGAACGCTATCTTCTAGCATCTACTATTGCTGTTGAGTCCAATAGTTAGAACTTTTTTTTGTTTTTTGATAAAAAACCAACTTTTTTCCCTCACTGGAAGATCTTAAAAGCTACTTCAGGCCGGGCACTGTGGCTCACGCCTGTAATCCCAGCATTTTGGGAGGCCGAGACGGGCAAATCACGAGGTCAGGAGATCGAGACAATCCTGGCTAACACAGTGAAACCCTGCCTCTACTAAAAATACAAAAAAAAATTAACCGGGAGTGGTGGTGGGCGCCTGTAGTCCCAGCTACTTGGGAGGCTGAGGCAGGAGAATGGCGTGAACCCGGGAGGTGGAGCTTGCAGTGAGCTGAGATCGTGCCAACAGAGTGAGCCTCTGTGTTAGAAAAAAAAAAGCTACTTCAGCAAACTAATTCTTGGTTTGGGCTTTTCCTTTTTCTTTGTTTTATTTTCTTTCTTTCTTTTTTTTTTTTTTTTGAGATGGAGTCTCGCTCTGTCGCCCAGGCTAGAATGCTGTGGTGCCATCTTGGCACACTGCAAGCTCCGCCTCCCGGGCTCATGCCATTCTCCTGCCTCAGCCTCCTGAGTAGCTGGGACTACAGGCGCCCGCCACCATGCACGGCTATTTTTTGTATTTTTAGTAAAGATGGGGTTTCATCGTGTTAGCCAGGATGGTCTCGATCTCCTGACCTCGTGATCCGCCCGCCTCGGCCTCCCAAAGTGCTGAGATTGCAGGTGTGAACCACCGTGCCTGGCCCTCTCTTTCTTTTCTTTGATTTATTTTGCTGGATATTTGGTGGAGCCTTTTTTTTTCTTTTTTTTTGAAACACTCCCATCACCTAGCCTGGAGTGCAGTGGTGGGATCTCGGCTCACTGGAGCCTCGACTCCCTGGACTCAGGTTATCCACCTCAGTCTCCCGAGTAGCAGGGACTACAGGTGCGTGCCACCATACCCGGCTAATTTTTTTGTATTTTTAGTAGAGACAGGGTTTTGCCATGTTGCCTGGGTTGCCTTTTTTTTATTTTTATTTTTAATTTCCATCTCCCTTTCCTGGTGTGGTAGACTCTTTCAGCATGATGACTCATATCTTTCATTTTATGGAAGATTTTCCTGTTTTCTTTGATAATTGCCTCTATTTCTGAGTTCCTTATTTATGGAAGGACTGCTAATAGAATGCTGGACTTCTGGGTTTATAATTTTCTTAATTTTCTTTTTTTATAAAGATAGAGTCTCACTCTGTCACCCAGGCTGGAGTGCAGCGGCCTGATTGTACGTAGCTCACCGTAACCATGAACTCATAGGCTCAAGCAATCTTCCCATGTCAGCTTTCTGAGTAGCTAGGACTACAGGCACGCAACACCGTGTGGGCTAATTTTTAAAATTTTTTTGTAGGGGTCTTGCTCTGTTGCCCAGGCTGGTCTTGAGCCCCTGGGCTCAGTGATCCTCCTGCCTTGACCTCCCAAAGTGTTGGGATTACAGGTGTGAGCTGCTGCACTTGGCCCTTTTAATTTTTTAAAATTATCTTTTGTCTCTTAATTTTTTCTTTATGTGATTTTCTCAGCATTGTCTTCTAATCCTGCTATTGAGTGTATTTCTGCTCTAGTATTATTTTTAATTTCTAAGACTTTGTTTCTGTCTTCTGATTTTTCCTTTTTTTAGCATCTTATTCTTGTTTCATGGATGCATTATTTTCTCTTAGACTCCTACCTATTGTGGGTTTTTTTTTTTTTTTTTTTTTTTGAGATGGAGTCCCACTCTGTTGCCCAGGCTGGAGTGCAATGGTGCGATCTTGGCTCATGCAATATCTGCCTCCCGGTTTCAAGTCATTATCCTGCCTCAGCCTCCTGAGTAGCTGGGATTACAGGCACCTGCCACCACGCCTGGCTAAGTTTTGTATTTTTAGTAGAGATGGGGTTTCACCACGTTGTCCAGGCTGGTCTTGAACTCCTGACCTCAGGTGATCCACCCACCTTGGCCTCCCAAAGTGCTAGGATTACAGGGGTGAGCCACCGGGCCCTCCCGACACCTGTCTATTCTTAACAAGAACACATATGACTTCCCTGTTGTCAAACCTGATGGCCAATTTATTGTCCACATCTTTCTAAAGAGAATAACACAGTTGATCACTCCATCCTTGGAGTATTTGCTTTACCTGATCTCTGACACCAGTGCCCCTTCCTGGTCTCCTTTGCTTGATCTGCCCCATCATCAGACTCTTTAAATGTGGATTGCCCCAACACCTAATCTTGGAGATTCTTTTTTTCTCTGTCTCTGCTCTGTCTATGCCAAATGAGAGTTATTTCATCTAGTTCTTTGGTTTTAAATGTCTGGATCTATATTCTAATGATTATGAAATGTGTGGCAGTAATTTGCCCTCTGATGAAGTGCATACCAGCTGCCAACATATCTCTGCTTGGATGTCTAATTAGGTGTCTCAAAGTTAACGTGTAAGATTACATTCTTGATCTTAGCTGAGGCGGGAGGATCACTTGAGCTCAGGAGTTTGAGACCAGCCTGGGCAACATAGTGATACCTCATCTCTATTAAAAAATGAAAGTAAATTTAAAAATTAAAAAACAAAAAAATTCTTGATCTCCCATCCTCAACTTGCTCTTCCCTTAGTCTTTTCTATCTCAGTAAAGGCAAATTTATCCTTCAGAACTTTTAGGTCAAATCTTTTTTTCCCTTTCATCCCGCACATCTACTGTGTTGTTATATCCAGCTGGTTTTACCTTTGAAATATATCTAGAGGCCAGCCACTCTTTTTTTCCCCCTTTTTCATCCTTAAGTGAAAAACTTATGTGACTGACATGCTGGCTACTATGCTAAGGAGGAAACTCTACCAAAAGGTTGAGTTAATCATGCTTCTCAGTTCATGGCACATTTTCTTTTTTTTTTTTTTTTAGAGATAGGATCTTGCTCTCTTGCCCAGGCTGGAGTACAGTGGCATGATCACAGCTCACTGCAGCCTCAATTTCCTGGGATCAGGTGATCCTTCCTTCTTAGCCTCTTGAGTAGCTAAGGACTACAGGCATGTACCATCATACCCGCTAATTTTTTACTTTTTGAGAGACAGTCTCACTATGTTGTTCAGGGTGGTCTCGAAAACCCCGGGCTCGAGAGTCTCTCTCTTCTCAGCTTCCCGAGTAGCTGGGACTGCTGGCATGTACGACCATGGCAGGCTGATTGATTTTTACTTTTTTAGGGGTAGAATCTCGATATATTGCCTAGGCAGTGATTGTTGTCTTACTGTTTTTCAAGTATTTCTCTTAAATTCTATGTCTAATATGATATCTACTAGTTACATGTGACTAACATTTAATTACAATTGAATAAAATTTAAAATTTAGTTCCTCAATTATGTAAACCACATTTTATGTGTTTATTAGCTACACTTGACTAGTAACTACTGTATTGCACAGTACAGATGCAGAATATTTTCATTATTACAGAAACTTTTATTGGATACCACTGCTCTCGATATTAATTCCTTGTCATCTTTAGACATTATAAATATCTTCTCCCGTTAATTTTGTCCAAGGTGGTATTTGTTGAATAAAAATCCTTAATTTTGTTAGAATCTACACTTTATTTGTAGCTGGGACCACAGGTGTGTGCCACCACGCCTGGCTAATTTTTTTGTATTTTTAGTAGAAACGGGGTTTCACCATGTTGGCCAGGCTTGTCTAGAACTCCTCACCTCAAGTGATCCGCCTGCCTCGGCCTCCCAAAGTGCTGAGATTACAGGTGTGAGCACCTGGCCTACTCTTTATTTTTTCTTATGGTTTGTGCTTTTAAAGTTTTATTTAAGAAGTCCTTATCTTTCCTTAGGTCTTAGATATAGTCTCCTGTTTTTTCTATACTTTTAGGTCCTTTATTTACCTAGAGACTACTCTTATATCTGATATTAGAAGGGTATCCAATTTTAATTTTCTCTGTATAATGGGTCACTTTCCCCAACACCTTCTTTTTTTTTCCCCTTTGATTCGTAGTGACTGCAAACTCTTCACCTATATTGTCACTTCCTTCATTATGCCTTGTCTCTAACATTATAGCCCCATAACTGGCCTTCTTGCTGCTATCCTACTGCTCTGTAGTATCTTCTCACTACAGCTAGTATGATTGTGTATAAGAAGTCAGATCAGTCCAGGCACGATGGCTCATGACTGTAATCCCAGCACAGAGGCAGGCAGATCACTTGAGGCCAGGAGTTCCAGACTATCCTGGCTAACACGGCAAAACCCGATCTCTACTAAAAATACAAAAATTAGCTACTTGGGAGGCTGAGATGGGAGGATCACTTGAACCTGGGAGGCGGAGGTTGTAGTCAGGTGAGATGACACCACTGCATTCCAGCCTGCGTGACAGAGTGAGACTCTGTCTCAAGAAAGCAAACAAAAAAAAGAAGTCAGATCATGTCATTTGTTGGCTATACCTTCTGATGTTTTCCCATATTATTTGGGATGAGACCCAAAGTCTTAACATAGCTTACAAGCTACGGTAAATGACCTGGCCCCTGGCTGCCTCTCTGACCTCCTTTTCTATCACTTCAGTCACTGGGCTTAAGATATCACTGGCCGTCCGGGTGTGGTGGCTCACAGTCTGTAATTCCAGCACTTTGGGAGGCCAAGGTGGGTGGATCACCTGAGGTCAGGAGTTCAAGACCAGCCTGGCCAACGTGGTGAAACCCCATCTCTACTAAAAATACAAAAATTAGCCAGGCATGGTGGCAGGTACCTGTAATTCCATAGTCTGTAATTCCAGCACTTTGGGAGGCTGAAGCAGGTGCATCACAAGATGAAGAGATCGAGACCATCCTGGCCAACATGGTGAAACCGCGTGTCTATTAAAAATATAAAAATTAGCTGGGCATGGTGGCGTGTGCCTATAGTCCCAGCTACTCAGAAGGCTGAGGCAGGAGAATCGCTTGAATCCAGGCGGCAGAGGTTGTAGTGAGCGGAAATTGCACCATTGCACTCCACCCTGGTGACAGCAAGATTCTGTCTCAAAAAAAAAAAAAAAAATAGCTGGATGTGGTGGTATGCTTCTGTAGTCCCAGCTGTTCGGGAGGCTGAGGTAGGAGGTTCTCTTGAGCCCAGGAGGTCAATCTGCAGTGAGCCATGATCATGCCACTGCACTGCAGCCTGGGCAGCACACAGACACCCTGTCTCAAAAAAAAAAATAATAATAATAATAAGGCCGGGCATGGTGGCTCACACCTGTAATTCCAGCACTTTGGGAGGCCGAGGCGGGTGGATCACCAGGTCAGGAGATCGAGACCAACCTGGCCAAGGTGGTGAAACCCCGTCTCTGCTAAAAATACAAAAATTAGCTGGGTGTGGTGGTGCGCGCCTGTAGTCCCAAGCTGCTCGGGAGGCTGAGGCAGGAGAATCGCTTAAACCTGGGAGGCAGAGGTTGCAGTGAGCCGAGATTGCACCACTGCACTCCAGCCTGGCGACAGAGCAAGACTCTGTGTCAAAAAATAATAATAATAAAAATAAAATCATGGCTGCTTGGTGGCTCATGCCTGTAATTGCAGCACTCTGGGAGGCTGAGGGGGGTGGATCACTTGAGATCAGGAGTTTGAGACCAGTCTGGCTATCATGGTGAAACCCTGTCTGTACTAAAAATACAAAAAGTAGCTGGGCATGGTGATGCATGCCTGTAGTCCCAGCTACTTGGGAGGCTGAGGCAGGAGAATAGCTTGAACCCAGGAGGCGGAGGTTGCAGTGAGCCGAGATCACGCCATTGCACTCCAGCCTGCATGACAGAGCAAGACTCCATCTCAAAAAAATAAAATAAATAAAATAAAATCAGGCTGGGCATGGTGGTACATGCATGTAATCCCAGCACTTTAGGAGGCTGAGGCGAGCGGATCACCTGAGGTTGAAAGTTTGAGACCAGCCTGACTAACATGGAGAAACCCTGTCTCTATTAAAAATGCAAAATTAGCTAGGAGTGGTGGTCCATGCCTGTAATCCCAGCTACTTGGGAGGCTGAGTCAGGAGAATTGCTTGAACCCAGGAGGCAGAGGTTGTGAGCTGAGGTCGCACCAATGCACTCCAGCCTGGGCAACAAGAGTGAAACTCCATCTCAAAAAAAAAAAAAAAGTCTACCACTGAGGCTGGGCATGGTGGCTCACGCCTGTAATCCCAACACTTTGGGAGGCCGAGGTGGGCAGATCATGAGGTCAGGAGTTCAAGACCAGCCTGAACAACATGGTGAAATGCTGTCTCTACTGCATCTCAAAAAAAGAATGAGGGGTCAGGGTCAGGTGCAATGGCTCATACCTGTAATCCCAGCACTTTGGGAGGCTGAGGCAGGAGGATCACTTGAGGCCAGGAGTTCGAGACCAACCTGGGCAACATTGCAAGACCCTGTCTCTACAAAAATAAAAATTAAAAAAAAGAAAAAAATAGCCATGTGACATGGCACACATGTGTAGTCCCGGATATTCAAGGAGACTGAGGCAGGATGATCAGTTGAGCCCAGGAGGTGGAGGTTATAATGAGCTATGATCATGCGACTGCACTCCAGCCTGAGTGACAAAGCGAGACCCTGTCTCTTCAAAAAAGAGAATTTTAAAAAATGAGGAACTAGAAAGTTGATGGAAGCAGAATATTTTTTTTTTTCTGAGATGGCGCTCTGTTGCCCAGGCTGGCTGGAGTGCAGTGGCATGATCTCGGCTCACTGCAACCTCTGCCTCCCTGGTTCAAGTGATTCTCGTGCCTCAGCCTCCTGAGTAGCTGGGATTACAGGTGTCCACTACCATGGCCAGCTAATTATTTATTTATTTATTTATTTTTGTAGATGGATTCTCGCTCTGTTGCCCAGGCTGGAGTGCAGTGGCGCAATCTCAGCTCACTGCAATCTCTGCCTCCCGGGTTTAAGAGATTCTCCTGCCTCAGCCTCCCAAGTAGCTGGGACTACAGGCATGTGCCACCACATCCGGCTAATTTTTTGAATTTTTAGTAGAGATGGGGTTTTACCATGTTGGCCGGGATGGTCTCAATCAGCTCACCTTGTGATCCTCCTGCCTCAGCGTCCCGAACTGCTGGGATTACAGGCGTGAGCCACTGCGCCGGCCAGTTTTTCTATTTTTAGCAGAGACAGGGTTTCACCATGTTGACCAGGCTGGTCTCAAGCTCCTGACCTCAGGTGATCTTCTCGCTTCAGCCTCCCAAAGTGCTGGGATTATAGGTATGAGCTCCCGTGCCCAGCTGGAAGCAGGATTTTTGACAAATGAATTTTAATATAGAAAAAGGCCAGATACTGTGACTCATGCCTGCAGTCTCGGCAGTTTGGGAGACCAAGGCAGGAGGATTGCTTGAGGCCAGGAGTTAAAGGCTACAGTGAGCTATGATCATGCCACTGCACTCCAGTCTAGGCAATAGAGCGAGACTCTGTCTCTGTCAATATAAATATATATTAATAAAAATAAGATATGCAGGCACAAAAGACTACTTTTTTTTTTTTTTATACAGATTGAATCTTACTTTGTTGCACAGGCTGGTCTCAAACTCCTGGCTCCAAGCAATCCTTCTGCCTCAACCTCCCAAAGTGCTAGGATTACAGGCATGAGCCACTGTGCTAGGCCAAAATAATATATTTTATATGATTCCATTTATATGAAATTCTAAAACGTGCAAACTATGGTGGCAGAAAGCAGATCAGTGGTTGGCTGGCAATAGTGGGGAAGATTGAAAGGAGGCACAAAGGAATGCTGTAGGTGATGGAAATATTCCATGTCTTGATTGGTTTGGTGGTTACACAGGTATATACATTTGTTATTGAACTGTGTGCTTTAACATGGATACAATTAAAAAAAAATTGTACCTCAATAAATTTGGTTAAAAATTTGCTAACCAAGGGTGGGCGCAGTGGCTCATGCCTGTAATCCTAGCACTTTGGGAGGCTGAGGTGGGCGGATTGCCTGAGCTCAGGAGTTCGAGACCAGCCCAGGCAACATGGTGAGGAAACCTCGTCTCTACTAAAATACAATTAGCCAGGCATGGTGGCATGTGCCTGTAGTCCCAGCTACTGGGGTGGCTGAGGGAGGAGAATCGCTTGAACCCGGGAGGCAGAGGTTGCAGTAAGCCAAGATTGTGCCACTGCACTCCAGCCTGGGCAACAGAAAATGTGTCAACTCTTGGGCAAATAGGTGCTGATTTCATGGCATACAAAGCAAATTGACTTCTGGTATAAATCTTCTGTAGCTATAAGAACTTCACGTATGCATGTATGTATTACAGAAAAATCCTTTGACACTTAAATGTAGGGGGAAAAAACACCTCTACTTGAGTATTTGGGTTAGTTAAGGCTTTATTGAACTTTCTTGCGTATGTTTTTTTCTTACTCTTCAGTGGCCCGAACCTGTAACTTGATCTTGATTGTTCTGGATGTCCTGAAACCTTTGGGACATAAGAAGATAATTGAAAATGAGCTGGAAGGCTTTGGCATTCGCTTGAACAGCAAACCCCCCAACATTGGCTTTAAGAAGAAGGACAAGGGAGGCATTAATCTCACAGCCACTGTAAGTGGGGAATATGACATGGGGCAGGCTGCTGCAGGAATTGGAATGGGGAGTGGATTGGGGTGCATGGACCCTGACATTGGAAAATTTCCTGGCTTTTCCCTGCACTAATTGAGATAACACAATGACTTTATAATGACTGACAAGAAAAACTTCAAGATTAGGATAGGAGCCAGTCTCAGACTTACCTTTGCTACTTATTTCCTCTTTTGGATTATCTATTGGGAATGATATGGGCGTGTGGACCAATATTATGCTTGCATAAAGTAGATGGCCGCCAATATCTTCTGTTTTCATTCATTTAACACAAATTTATAGAGTGCCTACCACGGGCCAAGCATTATTTTAGGCTCTGGGCAGGAATGGAAGAGGGAATAGTGAAACCCCCTGCTTTTATATTCTAATTGGATAGAATAGAAAACAATGTTAATGAGTAAAATATAATGTATTCGTCAATGATAAATATAAGAACACAAAGTAGGGAAAGGAGATAAGAGTGTTGGTGTGAGGGTTGCAGTTTTAAGAACGTTGGTCAGGGAAGTCTTTACTGAGGTGACATGAAGGTGTGAACCAAGTGGATATCTTGAAGAAGAGCATTTGCTTCATGCCTCAACCTCCTGAGTAGCTGGGATTACAGGTGCCTGCCATCGCACCCAGCTAACTTTTGTATTTTTAGTAGAGACGGGGTTTCACCATGTTGGCCAGGCTGGTCGGTTTCATTCTGTTGCTTAGGCTGGAGTACAGTGGCACAATCATAGTTCACTGTTAGCTCAAAACTCTTGGGCTCAAGTGACCCTCCTGCCTCAGCCTTCTAAGTAGCTAGGGCTAAGTCACATGCCTCCAGGCTTGGCTAATTTTTTTTTTTTTTTTTTTTTTTGGTAGAAACGGAGATTTGCCATGTTGCCCAGGCTGGTCTTGAACTTTTGGCCTCAAGCTGTCTCCTGCTTCGGTCTCCCAAAGTGTTGGGATTACAGGTATGAGCCACCATACCCAGCCATGTTTTTTATTTCCTGAGCTAAAAAAAAAATGAACTCTTATTACTAAAATGGTAGGACTTTTGGTAGAATAGATTTGGAGGGAAGGAGAAGATCAGGATGTTAAATTTTAGATGCCAGTGAGACATCCAGGTATTTCAGTCAAGAGGGCATGTGGGGTAGGCTGGGCATGGTGGCTCATGCCTGTACATCTATAATCCCAGCACTTTGGGAGGTTGAGGCAGGAGGATCACTTGAGCCCAGGAGTTCAAGACCAGCTTGGGCAACAAAGTGAGACCCCATCTCTATAAAAATAATAAAGAAGGCATGAGGAATTATCTAGGCTGGATATATAAATTTGGTGATTATCAACTTTAATGTCATGGGCCTAACTGAGATCACCAAGGATGTGAGTATAGATAGAAAAGAAAAGAGAGCTGGGTGCAGTGGCTCACACCTGTAATCCCAGTACTTTGGGAGTCCGAGGTGGGCGGATCACAAGGTCAAGAGATGGAGACCATCCTGGCCAACATGGTGAAACCCTGTATCTACTAAAAACACAAAAATTAGCCGGGCATGGTGGCACGCACTTGTAATCTCAGCTACTCGGGAGGCTGAGGCAGGAGAATCGAACCCAAGAGGTGGAGGTTGCAGTGAGCCGAGATGACGCCACTGCACTCCAGCCTGGTGACAGAGCGGGACTCCGTCTCAAAAAAAAAAAGAAAGAAAGAAAGAAAAGAAAAGAGAATCGGCCAGGCACGGTGGCTTACGCCTGTAATCCCAACACTTTGGGAGGCCGAAGTGGGCAGATTACATGAGGTCAGGAGTTGGAGGCCAGCCTGACCAACATGGCAAAACCCTGTCTGTACTAAAAATACAAAAATTAGCCAGGCGTGGTGGCACGTGCCTGTGATCCTGGTACTTCGGAGGCTGAGGCAGGAGAATTGCTTGAACCCAGGAGGCGGAGGTTGCAGTGAGCTGAGATCGCGCCACTGCACTCCAGCCTGGGCAACAAGAGCAAAACTCCGTCTCAAAAGAAAAAAAAGAAAGAAAAGAGACTCAGAGAAATAAGACTTCTTAGACCAAGAGAGAGAAGGAAAACTGAAAGAGTTTGAAATACTGGAAGCCAAGTAAAGTGTTTCACATAGGAGTGACCAATTCTGTCAAATGCTGCTTCTCTGTCAGAATTGAGGACTGAGAGTTTCCTACTAAATTTAACACTTCAGAGCCCAGATGATTTGACTGGCATAGGTTTCAGCTGTCCTGCCCAAAACATCTTTCCCATTATCCCGTCTTAATATTCAAATTTGAACATTTAAGATTATTTCTGTGTTAGTTTCAGTGCTGCCATAATACGGTACCACAGATGGGTGGCTTAAATAACAGAAATTTATTTTTCATAATTCTAGAGGCTAGAAGTCTGAGATGAAGTTGATGGCAGGGTTGATTTCTTCTGAGGCTTCTGTCCTTGGCTTACAGATGGGACTTCATATGGTGTTTGCTCTGTGTGTCTGTGTCCTAATCTCCTTTTCTTATTAGGACCACCAGTATTGGATTATGGCCCCACCCTAATGACCTTATTCTAATTTGATTACCGCTTTAAAGACCCTATCTCCAAATACATCACATTCTGAGATACTGAGGTTAAGACTTCATGTGAATTATTTGGTGGGGGAAGGAGGAACACAGTTCAGCGTGTAACACCTTCCTTGGAGTTTGGACATTTATTTCCTACTAAAAGTCAGTGACACTCATCCCGGATGTATTTAGTAATGAGTTTGCATCTTAGCTAGAATTTTCCAGGTACATGGATATTGGTACACTTGACAAGTATTTTTTTTAAATTTTGTGCTGACTAGTCATCTGCTATTCCCTTTCAGTGCCCCCAGAGTGAGCTGGATGCTGAAACTGTGAAGAGCATTCTGGCTGAATACAAGATTCATAATGCCGATGTGACTCTACGTAGTGATGCTACAGCTGATGACCTCATTGATGTGGTGGAAGGAAACAGGTACTGACTGAGTGTGCAGTCTGTGCCTGACTGAATTGGAAGCCTTGTGATGGAAACAGTATTGGATCTTGAATCTGGCAGAAGTTTATCTTAATTCCAGTTGTCCTACTGTCTTTTTTTTTTTTTTTTTTTTTGAGATGGAGTCTCACTCTGTTGCCCAGGCTAGAGTGCAGTGGCGTGATCTCAGCTCACTGCAAGCTCCACCTCCCAGGTTCAAGAGATTCTTCTGCCTCAGCCTCCCGAGTAGCTAGGATTACAGGTGCGCACCACCACGCCCAGCTAATTTTTGTATTTTTAGTAGAGATGGGGTTTCATCATGTTGGCCAGGCTGGTCTTGAACTCCTGACCTCAAGTGATCCGTCTGCCTCGGCCTCCCAAAATGTTGGGATTACAGGCATGAGCCACTGTGTCCAGCCTGTGCTACTATCTTAAATGATAGTGGGCTTTGGTTTCTTTTTTTTTTTTTTTTTTGAGATAGAGTTTCGCTCTTGTTAGCCAGGCTGGAGTGCAGTGGCGCAGTCTCGGCTCACTGCAACCTCCACTTCCAGGTTCAAGCGATTCTCCTCCCTCAGCCTTCCTGAGTAGCTGGGATTACAGGCCTGTGCCGCCACGCCTGGCTAATTTTGTATTTTTAATAGAGATGGGGTTTCTCCGTGTTGGTCAGGCTGGTTTCGAACTCCTGACCTCAGGTGATCCACCCCACCTCGGTCTCCCAAAGTGCTGGGTTTACAGGTGTGAGCCCGGCCTTTTTTTTTTGAGACAGAGTCTTACTCTGTCACCCAGGCTGGAGTGCAATGGTGTGATCTCAGCTCACTGTAACCTCCTCCGCCTCCCAGGTTCAAGCGATTCTGCTGCCTCAGCCTCCCAAGTAGCTGAGATTACAGGTGTGCACCACCATGCCCAGCTAATTTTGTATTTTTAGTAGAGACGGGGTTTCATCATGTTGGCCAGACTGGTCTCAAACTCCTGACCTCAAGTGATCCGCCTGCCTTGGCCTGCCAGAATGTTAGGATTACAGACATGAGCCACTGCGTCCAGCCTGTGTTACTATCTTAAATGATAGTGGGGCTTTGGTTTCTTTTTTTTTTTTTTTTTTTTTTTTTGTGAGACAAGAGTCTCACTCTGTCACCTGGGCTGGAGTACAGTGGCGCGATCTTGGCTCACTGCAACCTCCACCTCCTGGGTTCAAGTGATTCTTCGGCCTCAGCCCCCTGAGTAGCTGGGATTATAGGCGCCTGCCACTACATCTGGCTAATTTTTTGTATTTTTAGTAGAGATGGGGTTTCATGTTGGCCAGGCTGGTCTTGAACTCCTGACTTCAGGTGATCTACCCACCTCAGCCTCCCAAAGTGCTGGGATTACAGGTATGAGCTGCTGTGCCCGGCACCCGCCCCCCCCCCCTTTTTTTTTTTTTTGGAGTCTTGCTTTGTCCCCCAGGCTGGAGTGCAGTGGCACGATTTCAGCTCACTGCAACCTCTGCCTCCCGGGTTCAAGCAATTCCCCTGCCTCAGCCTCCCAAGTAGCTGGGACTACAGGTGTCCGCCACCATACCCAGCTAATTTTTGTATTTTTAGTAGAGACGGGGTTTCTCCATGTTAGCCAGGCTGGTCTCAAACCTCAGGCAGTCTGCCTGCCTCTGCCTCCCAAAGTGCTGGGATTACAGGCGTCAGTCACCCTGCCTGCTGGCTTTGGTTTCTTTAGGGGTAAACTGAGGGATTAGTTTTTATTTCTGACATCCTTCCTTGCTTTTAAATTTAATTATGATGGTCATATTCCCCATTTCAGTTTTTTTCTTTTACAGCCTCTTCCTATGAAATTCTCCGTTTCAGTTACTTGCTGTAAACTAAGCTGCCCCCTAAACTTTGTCATGTGATAGTTGAAGAAAGTAGTAGGTCAGTCTGCTCTTCCAGAATTAATCCACCTGAGAAGTTATATAGGCTGTGTCCTACAGAAGTCCGAGCAGGCCAGGCTGTGTCTGTTTTCTCCATCCTAAGAGTATGTAGCTGAATATCTGTTTCATGATACATTACTTTTTTTTTTTTTTTTTGAGACAGAGTCATGCTCTTGTCGCCCAGGCTGTAGTGCAGTGGTGTGATCACGGCTTACCGCAGCCTTGAACTCCCGGGCTCAATCCATCCTCCCACCTCAACCTCCTGAGTAGCTGGGACTATGGGCGTGTGCCACCAAGCCAGGCTAATTTTTGTATTTTTTGTAGAGATGTTGTTTCACCACGTTGCCGAGACTGGTCTTGAACTCCTGGGCTCAAGCAATCTGCCTGCCTTGGCCTCCCAACGTGTTGGGATTATAGGCATAAGCCACTATGCCCAGCCCATTAATATTACTGAGACTTTAATAAGTTAAGTCACTGTTAAAATTACTCATAGCATTTGCATGTAATATTTTTAGTTGCTCTCCTAGTCATTTGTTCCTGTATGTTGGATGAGTGTACTTACTCCTCATTTGAAAACAAACAGAAGCCAGTGTTTTCAGTTAGGCATTTTACAAGTGAGGCAGTTAAACCTGAGAAGTTGTGGCTTGCCTAATTAGTAGTAACCTTAGCTGTCATATTGATTGGACACTAGGAATATGACATTGGTAGATGCTATATCAGTTTTACCAATATTATTTATTGTACCAATAAATAAAACACTTATTTTTTAGTCTTTAAGTATAAATTATGTTTTAAAACAGCCTTGTAGGAAACTGACTCAGAGGTTAAGTGACTTTCCTAGGGACACATAACATCACCTCTTCATATCCACAGAGGATTGCTTCCAGGACCCCTTGCAGATAATGAAACCTGCAGATGCTCAAGGCCCTTATATAAAATGGTATAGTACAGCTGACCCTCCGTGTCTGTGGGTTTTTGATCTGCAGTTGGTTGAATTCAGGGATGCAAAACCTGCATATTTGGAGGGCCAGCTGGGATTAGAATCAGTCTGAGCACTTCAAAGCTTGTGTTCTTTCCACTGCAGTATGCTTTCCTAGCAGTTAGCTTTGTGGCTGGTACTAGGGCCTGACTTCTGTTACTTTTCAACCCATAGTTCACTTTTTCTTTTTCTTTTTTCTTTTTCTGGCTGATCTGCTACTTACAGTCCCTCTTGGGAGCGCCAGTTGGGTCTGGGTGAGGGTGTGCTGTTCAACAGTCTGACAGTTCTGTCAACAACTCCAGACTAATACCCTGTTTTTCTTCACTTTCTGTAGAGTTTATATCCCCTGTATCTATGTGTTAAATAAGATTGACCAAATCTCCATTGAGGAATTGGATATCATCTATAAGGTGCCTCACTGTGTACCCATCTCTGCCCATCACCGCTGGAATTTTGATGACCTATTGGAAAAGATCTGGGACTATCTGAAACTAGTGAGAATGTAAGTCTTTGTGGATAGGGTAATGTTGCTATAGGAATTAACCAGACTGTCCTAAAATGATACTTTCTGGAGCTCATTAACAAAATCTGGCTCTTTTTGAAAATATAAGTAAATTGGTTCCTATTATCTACTAGGTCATTAGGTCATATTGAGGACACTTTTTCCCTTAAGTTGGAGGTTGTCCTGGTCTGATGTCAGGGGTGATGGAGGGTTGCTATACATTCAACACATGAGATAGTCTAAGAAGGCAGTAATCTTTATGCCCTCTCTATTCTAGTTACACCAAACCCAAAGGCCAGTTACCAGATTACACATCCCCAGTGGTGCTTCCTTACTCCAGGACCACAGTGGAGGATTTCTGCATGAAGATTCACAAAAATCTTATCAAAGAATTTAAATAGTAAGTATCATGGGCCTGTGGTCCCTCCTTTTTCCTATGAGTTACCAATTTTACTAACTAGTAATTCTTAGGATAGCATTTTAAAAAAGAAGGCAGGAAGGAGGCTACTGAAATGTTTGCTTGGCTAGAACTCTGCAGTGTCTTCTTAAAACCGTGCCTAATTAGAATAGGAAGAGCTCTAGAAACCTCTTTAGGTCAGGAAGCCTGATGACACAAACAACCCTGACCTTCCCTCATTATTTCATCTTCCTCTTGGCAAACACAAATATTAATAATTCCTGCCAATGTCACACTGGCCTCTACTGGGTACTGAGCCCCCTTCTAAACCTTAAACATGGGCAAAACCTCCCTAATCTCTTACATTTTTCACTGCTGACACAGGCTGAAAAAAAATTATTTTATTTTTGCGACGGTCTTGCTGTTGCCTTGGCTGGAGGGAGTGGTGAGATCATAGCTCACTGGAGCCTCAATCTTCTGGGCTCAAGCAGTCCTCATGCCTCAGCCTCCTGAGTAGCTGGGACTACAGGTGCACACCATTATACCCGGCTAATTTTTAATTTTTCATTTTTTGAGACAGTCTCGCTTTTGTTGCCCAGGCTGGAGTGCAATGGCGTGATCTTGGCTCACTGCAACTTATGCTTCCCGGGTTCAAGTGATTCTCCTGCCTCAACCTCCTGAGTAGCTGGGATTACAGGCATGTGCCACCCACCATGCCCAGCTAATTTTGTATTTTTAGTAGAAACGGGGTTCCTCCATGTTGGTTAGGCTGGTCTTGAACTCTTGACCTCAGCCCCCCAAAGTGCTGGGATTACAGGCATGAGCCACCGTGCCTGGCCTTAAAAAATGTTTATTAGAGACGAGGTCTTGCTTTGTTTCCCAGGCTGGTCTTGAATTCCTGAGCTCGAGCAATTCACCTGCTTCAGCCTCCCAAAGTGTTAGGATTATAGGTGTGAGCCACTATGCCCAGCATATTAATTTTTTATTTTGAACTTATTTTAGACCAATAGCAAAGTTGCAAATACAGCACAAAGTTTCTTTTTTTTTTTTGAGACGGAGTCTCGCTGTGTCGCCCAGGCTGGAGTGCAGTGGCGCAATCTTGGCTCACTGCAAGCTCTGCCTCCAGGGTTCATGCCATTCTCCTGCCTCAGCCTCCCGAGTAGCTGGGACTACAGGTGCCCGCCACCACGCCCGGCTAATTTTTTTGTATTTTTCAGTAGAGATGGGGTTTCACCGTGTTAGCCAGGATGGTCTTGATCTCCTGACCTTGTGATCTGCCCGCCTCGGCCTCCCAAAGTGCCGGGATTACAGGCGTGAGCCACTGCGCCCAGCCCAAAGTTTCCTTTTATCTCTCACCCCACTTCTAATGTTAACAGCTCACATTACTATAAAATTATCAAAAACAGGAAATAAGCATTGGTATGATGTTGTTAACTATAGATCTTATTTGAAATTTATTACTTTTTCTTTTACTAGTGTCTGTTTTGTGTTCCAGGAACCTGTGTGGCATTTAGTTGTTGCTTGTTTGTAGTCTTGTGTTCTAGTCTACCAGTAATATTTCCTTAGACTTTCACTGTCATTGATGATCTTGACACTTTTGAAGAGTGTTCACTAGTTATTTGATTGAATATTCCTTAGTTTGAGTTTGTCCAGTGTTCTCTCATGATTGAAATGAGATTATGCATTTTTGGTAAGAATACCACAAAAATAATGATATGTTCTTCTCAATGTATCATTACATGAGATTCATGATGTTGATATACCTCACCGATGATAATATTCACATTGATTACTTGGTTAAGTTGGTGTAGGGTGGGTTTCTCTGCCGTGAAGGTAGTATTTTTCTCTCCGTATTTTATAAGTATCTCGGGGTACTTTTGAGACTGTGAAAGTCCTTTTTCTCTTCAAATTTTTGCCTGCTATTAGCATCTACTGGTGAGGCTTGTTTGTGACATTTATGGCTATGGTGTTTACCTAGCCATAGGCTGGAGTGTAGTGGCACGATATCAGCTCACTGCAACCTCTGGCTCCTGGGTTCAAGCAATTCTTCTGCCTCAGCCTCCTGAGTAGCTGGTACTACAGGCGTGTGCCACCGTGCCCGGCTAATTTTTGTATTTTTAGTAGAAATTTTTGTATTTTTAGTAGTCAGGCTGGTCTCAAACTCCTGACCTCAGGTGATCTGCCTGCCTCGGCCTCCCAAAGTGCTGGGATTACACACAGGCATGAGCTACCACGCCTGGCCTAATGGTGATTCTTTATTTTCCTTTTTTATTTTACATTTATTTATTGGACTTCTGTGTGTTAGAGCTACCACTTCTTTATTTAACTCATAATTCCTATCAGTATGAGCTCTTGGTTATTTTATTCTATAGGATGTAATCTAATACTATTATTATTTTGTTGCTCAAATTACTACAAAGCTTTGGCCATTAGGAACTCTTTCATGTTGGCCCCTGTGTTCTTTTGATAAGCTCCTTTTTTTTTTTTGAGACACGGTCTCACTGTTGTCCAAGCCGGAGTGCAGTGGCACGATCACAGCTCACTGTAGCCTTGATCTCATGGGCTCAAGCCTCAGCCTGCCTCAGCCTCCTGAGTAGTTGGAACTCCAAGTGTGCGCCACCATGCCCAGCTAGTTTTTTCTATTTTTTTTGTAGAGACAAGGTCCGACTTGTGTTGCCCAGACTGGTCTCCAATGCCTGGGCTCTAGTGATCCGCCTACCTTCACCTCCCAAAGTGCTGGGATTACAGGCATGAGCCATTTATTTATTGTAGAGATGGGGTCTTGCAATGTTGCCCAGGCTTCTCAAACTCCTGGGTTCAAGTGATCCTTCCATCTCTGCCTCCCAAAGTGCAGGATTACAGGCATCAGCCACCCTTTCCTTACTTTTTGATAGTGTTAATACTTAGATGTTCCCAAATGACATTGATTTTGCCTGCACTAGCCCTGAAAATTAGTCACTTCTCCAAGGAGCCCCAGTTTTCAAGATGTGGGTGCTAAGCATGCTCATTGTTAGCAAGTAGGTTATCATTGCCTGTAGGCCCTCTCAGCAAATAAAGTTAGGAAATACATGTATGGATACTAATGATGCTTATATACACAACTGTATTTCTGTATCTGTCTTATCCTTCCTCACTATCCATCATTTATCCATCTTTCCTAAAAACCATGAGTTTATACTGTTATCTCTGATTCTAGTTCAATACTACAGGGTTAATTTTTTTTTTTTTTTCTTTTTTTGAGATGGAGTCTCGCTCTGTCGCCCAGGCTAGAGTGCAGTGGCGCCATCTCCGCTCACTGCAAGCTCTGCTTCCCGGGTTCACGCCATTCTCCTGCCTCAGCCTCCTGAGTAGCTGGGACTACAGGCACCCGCCACCACACTCGTCTAATTTTTTATATTTTTAGTAGAGATGGGGTCTCACCGTGTTAGCCAGGATGGTCTTGATCTCCTGACCTCGTGATCCGCCCGCCTCGGCCTCTCAAAGTGCTGGGATTACAGGCGTGAGCCATCATGCCCGGCCACTACAGGGTTCATTTTAGCCTTCCCACTTAGTATTATTTTTGAGACAGGTTCTCTGTCTCCCAGGCTGGAGTGCGGTGGCTCTGTCACAGCTCACTGCAGTCTCGACTTCCCAGGCTCAAGCGATCCTCCTACCTCAGTTTCTGAATAGCTGAGACCATAAGTGTATGCCACCATGCCCAGCAAATTTTTTTTTTATTTGTAGAGACAGGGTCTCCCTATGTTGCCCTGGCTGGTCTCGAACTCCTGGGTTCAAGCGATTCTCCTGCTTTGGCTTCCCAAAGTGCTGGGATTACAGACACTAGCCACTGCACCCGGCCTTCCCCCCCCCCCCCCGCTTTTTTTTTTTTTTTTTTGAGACGGAGTCTTGCTCTGTTGCCCAGGCTGAGTGCAGTGGTGCGATCTCGGCTCACTGCAAGCTCCGCCTCCCGGGTTCATGCCATTCTCCTGCCTCAGCCTCCCGAGTAGCTGGAACTACAGGTGCCTGCCACCATGCCTGGCTAATTTTTTGTATTTTTAGTAGAGACGGGGTTTCACCATGTTAGCCAGGATGGTCTCGATCTCCTGACCTCGTGATCTGTCCACCTCGGCCCCCCAAAGTGTTGGGATTACAGGCGTGAGCCACTGTGCCCGCCGCACTTTTTTTTCTGAATAGGAAAAAGGGTTAAAAACAAAAGAAGAAAATAGGGCTAGGTGTGGTAGCTCACGCCTGTAATCTCAGCACTTTGTGGCCAAGGCAGGAGGACTGCTTGAGTCCAGGAGTGTGAGATCAGACTAGGCAATATAGTGAGACCCCGTTTTTATCAAAAATAAAAAAATTAGCCAGACATGGTACCAGGCACCTGTGGTCCCAGCTACTCAGGAGGCAGAGGTAGGATTGCTTGAGCCCAGGAGGTTGACATTGCAGCGAGCCAAGATAATGATCATGCCCCCTGTACTCTAGCCTGGGCAGCGGACTGAGACCCTTCCTCAAAAAACCAACCAAAGAAAGAAAAAACTTGTTTCTGATCCTAAGAGTACTGAGAGAGTGAAGTCCTTTATTGACCTTCAGATCCTTACATATAAAACAACTATATTCCACATGTAAGTGCTAATTTCCACCACAGTCAAAACATTATGCTTTGGCAGTTACTTTAACTGGTAAAGATGACTTTTGTAAAAAGTTAAACACTGTCCTTTTTCAAACTTTGTAGATTTATATATAGCTCTTTCCTTCTATGGTGGCAAAACATTGTTCAAAACCTTCAGAACTTTAAATTTACCAGGGAATTAAAAAGGGGAGAAAAATGTCTCAGATAAGAAACATATCGAAGCAAACAGGATTTTATTTGCTCTTATTTTACTGTTTTTTTTTTTTTCTTTAATTATTGCACAACTATCTTTTTGGTTTTTTTGAGATAGGGTCTTGTTCTGTTGCCGCCCAGGCTGGAGTCCAGTGGCGTAATCGTGGTTCACTGCAGCCTTGAACTCCTGGGCTCAAGCGATCCTCCCACCTTAGCCTTTTAAATAGCTGGGACTACAGGTGCAAACCACCATGCCTGGCTAATTTTTTCTATTTTTCTAGAGCTAGGGTTTCTCCATGCTGCCCAGACTGGTACAACTCTCTTAATAATAGAAAACTTTCATCTTCAGGCCTAATTAATTATAACATTTATCCCTTTTCCATTTCCTTCATGTCCTTGACCACACTGATCCCTTACTCTGTGCTTTGTGTTTTTTGTGTGTGTGTGTGTTTTTTTTTTTTTTGAGACTGAGAGAGACTCAGTCGCCCAGGCTGGAGTGCAGTGGCGCGATCTTGGCTCACTGCAACCTCCGCCTCCCAGGTTCAAGCGATTCTCCTGCCTCAGCCTCCCAAGTAGCTGGGACTATAGGTGCGCGCTACCACGCCCAGCTAATTTTTTTGTATTTTTAGTAGAGATGGGGTTTCACCATGTTGGCCAGGATGGTCTCGATCTCTTGACCTCATGATCCGCCCGCCTGGGCCTCCCAAATGCTGGAATTACAGGTGTGAGCCACCACGCCTGGCCTAATTTTTGTATTTTTAGTAGAGACAGGGTTTCACCATATTAGCCATGCTGGTCTCGAACTCCTGACCTCGTGATCCGCCCGCCTCAGCCTCCCAAAGTGCTGGAATTAGAGGCATGAGCCACCGTGCCCGGCCTGGAATATAGATTTTTTAAAGAGGTTTTGACTCAATGATAATATAACAACAATATGGCCACCTTTTTTACTCTTGGTACATAGTTCTTAGTCTCTGTGAGGCAGGTCTCGGTGTCTTATTCACCAGTTTTCATCTCTAGCACAACATATTCTTAAGTTTGGAGGCCCATGGATATAAATTACCTTCACATATTCCAGTAAATCGGGAGGACATATCAATTACAGTTTCTGGTTAGGGAGGAAGATTTTCCTGGCATGGCTGAAGAGGGAGGCCCTAATTTCTTGTCAGTACCCACTGATGGTTTCAGGAAACCCAGCAAAAACAGGTATTCTCTAACAGTCTATAAGTGATATTGTATCTGTAAGAATCAGTCTGAAATTTTCAGGGTATTTCTCTATGAAGATTAAAGACGGATTTTTTTTTTTTTTTTTGAGGCGGAGTTTCGCTCGTTGCCCAACCTGGAGTGCAACGGCATGATCTTGGCTCACTGCAACCTCCGCCTCCCGGGTTCAAGCCATTCTTCTGCCTCAGCCTCCCGAGTAGTTGGGATTACAGGCACCCGCCACCATGCCCAGCTAATTTTTGTATTTTTAGTGGAGACGGGGTTTCACCATGTTGGCCAGGCTTTTCTTGAACGCCTGATCTCAGGTGATCCGCACCCTTCGGCCTCCCAAAGTGGTGGGATTACAGGCATGAGCCCCTGCGCCCGGCCCAGAGTATTTCTCTATAACAAATCCATGCTTTCTTTTAATTTTAAACTAGGCTCTTTATACTAAACATGTTTTTTGTCTTTGACTTTCTGCAATAAGAGGAACCACACAACTTCCAGAAGTCTTTACCGGCTTTTATGTTAAGGCTTCAGTGTCTCATGCTGCTAGGGAAGATAAAGCTTTTGTAGGTCTATGGTTCTTAAGGGTATGATACTAAATCTGAGCAGAAGGGTGGCATCCAGGCAAATAGGGCAGAAGCTAGGTTATTATTTACACTGACTGTTCTTTTTCCCTTCCATGCAGTGCTCTGGTCTGGGGTCTCTCTGTGAAACACAATCCTCAGAAAGTGGGTAAAGACCATACGTTGGAGGATGAGGATGTCATTCAAATTGTGAAGAAGTGAAACCTTTCCCTTTTCCCATCTGCCGGACGAACCACAACAGCGTTCCCCATGATCAAGCACCCTACCCCAGTTCTTTCTGGTTTTGGCAGTCACTGGATCAGGATCCAGGGGAGGGAGATGGAGGCACCCAAACTGGAACTTCATTTGTCTTACCTTGGTGTCACCTTGTATGTCGAACTGCATAAAAGATCTGGTAGGCTGGTCAGCTACATGCAGCTCATGTGTCATTGTCAGAATTTGTTTTGGGATGGGCTGAATGAGGAAGGGTATATACGGTGAAGCAGCTACAGAAGGGATCCTTGGGAACTTCATCTTGAGTGTGAAATGGATAAAAATATGACATGCTGCATCTTACTTGATGTTTACTTATGGGAACCCCTTCCAAACTAGATATGGCTTTCAGTCCTTTCAAGTAGTCTTTCCCACATGATACTGGAGAGAGGAAGGACTTTATGTAAGTTAATTGATCACTCCCCGCAAGGCTAACCTATTTTGGGAGATCATGTAATTAAGTACTCCGACCAGGCAGATCAGGGTTTGAAATTGCAGGTCCACCTCTAGTTAGCTGTGGAGCCCTGAACAAATTACCCAACCTTTATGAGCCTCAGTTTCCTCATGTAACATGGGGATAGTAATAGCACTTACTTTCTGCGGTGGTGATTGTTAGTAATGGAGGGAGATGGTACTTATATGTCAAATACTGTGCTAAGCAATTTGTAAGTACTCAATGACTCTTGGCTTTTGTTGCACCGAGCCTTTTACTGGGCTGTCTGCCCTATGCAGAGCACAGCTGTACATCATCAGTGTTGGGTTGAATGTTGAGCTGAACTATGTTGCCACCTGGGCCACTAAAATGCTTTTTTCTTTTTCTTTTTCTTTTTTTTTTTTTGAGATGGAGTTTCGCTCTTGCTGCCCAGGCTGGAGTGCAATGGCATGATCTCGGCTCACCGCAACCTCCGCCTCCCGGGTTCAAGCGATTCTCCTGTGTCAGCCTCCTGATTAGCTGGGATTACAGGCAGGTACCACCATGCCCCGCTAATTTTGTATTTTTAGTAGAGATGGGGTTTCTCCATGTTGGTCAGGCTGGTCTTGAATTCCTGACCTCAGGTGATCCGCCTGCCTCAGCCTCCCAGAGTGCTGGGATTACAGGTGTGAGCCACCGTGCCCGGCCAACTAAATGCCTTCTTTCCCATAACCCAGACTTTCTGCTTGAATCCCCATGAAAGTCCTGGCTTCAGCCAATAACTTGGGCGAAGGTGCATTGCAAGTGAGGCAACTGGTGTGATCAAAGCAGGTTTGTGTGTTCACATATGTGTATATATGGAGGTGGGCGGTTTAGGAGGAGGCTTGGTGTCAGGACTACTTGAGAGGATGCTAAGGACATAATCAGATATTTGGGGGACTAGGAATATAGGAATTTAAGGGGATTGCTCTGATTATGTGAAACTGGTTGATGAAAATCTTGGTGTGGTGGGTAACAATATGGACGGAGGGGGCTGGGCCCAGTAGCTCACACCTGTAATCCCAGCACTTTGGGAGGTCAAGGCAGGAAGATCGCCTGAGCTCAGGAGTTCGAGACCAGCCTGGACAACATAGCGAGGCCCAATCTCTACAAAAAAATTTAAAAAATTAGGTGGGCATGGTGGTGCATGCCTGCAGTCCCAGCTGTTCGGGAGGCTGAGGTGAGGACTGCTTGAGCCTGGGAGGTCCAGGCTGCAGTGAGCTAAGATGGGCCACTGCACTCCAGCCTGGGTGACAGAGTGAGACCCTGTCTCCAAGAAATAAAAATTAAATAATTAAAGAATATGGGCAGAAGGGAGGGTATGGACATGTAAGTATGGGGGAGAAATCTTAAACTTGTTAACTAACTTGCTCTTGGGAAGAAGTCAAACATTATTTCAGTATGGATGGAGTAGTCCCTGAGAAAATCAGGAAGAATAGGTTTGCAGCAAGACAGAATTTGATTATTTCTTCAAATGAGGCAAGCCAGAGCTTTTAGCAGGTCATGAGTGATCACAGTGTGGGATTATTCACATACTCAGCCTCTCTCCAGTGCTTGTTTCTCCTGCTGCCCTAATAGCAGTTGTTTCCCTTTGATAGTCTTCCTGGAGCTTGGGCTTGTCACTGTCCCCAGACCTGGAAGGTAAGCTCCTGAAGCCTGGTATGCTAGTTACTTTTCAGAATATCGGCCTTGATACCACTGGTGCATTCATGATAGAGGCCGTGGTCTAGAGCCTGCCCCAACCCTGCAGGGGAACAGGGAAACATTGGCTTTCTGAGCTACGGGATTTCCAGGAAGGTTTGTTCTCCAGCCAGAACATATTGGGTTTCTGGGGACTCTTCTTGCCAAAATTCACTTTCATTGAGCAAGCATTTAGCACTGCCAGAATGTTGGGGAGAGAAGGTTGCTGAAATCCAGTTCATCCTAAGGCCTCAGGATGTTCTGTGAATAGGCTTTGTGTCCATCATTTAGCACCCTCCCCATGGCTTGGTCCAGGGACCCCTGGTCTCCTTGAGGAGAGAATTACCCTACCTTTCCCTTTCTCCTCTGGGCTTAGACTTAGCAGTTCTGGGAGAGGGGTATGTTTGGTATTGGGAATGCTGCCTAGGGTATGGCCACTGTGGAGGTACAGCTAAAGGCTTTCTCCTCATTAACTCTAAGACTTTACTGGTTTGGCTGTCATAGCATGATTTGAATTTCCTGTGCTTTTACATATTCCATGTTTCTTTCCTGACTTTATTACAAGTAAACAGATCCATTGTTCTGTGCCATTTAACTAGTTAGAACACGTTTAGCTGCATTTAGCAGAAAGTGCTAACTTAAGCGGCTGAAATGGAAGGGAACTTGGTCTTACCTTTTTGGGA